>NC_000001.11:232093212-232244727 GCF_000001405.40 Homo sapiens | reverse complement strand
AGCCTGGGAGCAAAGGACAGCACAGAAGCTGATAGAGAAGCAGATGCTACAAGAGAGAGATCATGCTTCTCTGTGTCATTCAGCAAACCCTTCCTGGCACTGGTTCCCAGGGGACCAGCTGCCCTGAAGTTTGTGTTCATGGAAGAACATGTCATACAAGTTACAAGCACAGTTCTGGAGACCCTAGTTCATATTTCAGTTTGGCACAACATAGCTGTGCAATGGTGTAAGATATTTAACCTGTCTAAGCCTCTGTCTTCTCAATTGGAAAATGTAGAACACAATTCATACGTTTGTTGCAAAGATGAAAAGAAATAATATATGGAACATAGAAAGCACTAAAGTGCTATTATCAGTGTTACTATTATTTCCATGAGCTCTCACCTCCACAGTCCATGTGTGCCTTTGTAATAACCTACTCTCTCTATTTTTCCTCCTGAAAGAACTGAATGAGTCTTTGTTTCTCATGACACAAAGGTTCCAAATAAGCCTTTTGGTTTTATGTAAAATAGTTTCTGAGAGGGCAAGATTTGAGGCAGATCTGGGATTTTCCTTAAGTCTGAACAATACATTGATAGATTATCTGAAAGATTTCTTCTAGTTCTAACATTTTATGATGCTCAACAAAACTCAGTTAGTGCTTGTTATTTCTGTAGAGTATTCAAAAAATACTTTTTAACAGGGACATATTGAAGACCCAGAAATGTAAAAGTGGTTGTTTATGGATCACCTTCTCATGTACTCATTACTGCACCAAATTACACAGCACTCCATAAGGTAGGCTTGGAAGATATTACTCTCACATCATTCTTCAGATGAGAAAATAGAGCTCACACAGTGCATGTGACTTATCACAGGCTAAAAAGTGGCAAACCATTGGCTCAAAAATCCTGGTTTTCTGACACCTGTATCCATGCTCTTTCTGCTGTTTCCTGCTCTCCTGCTTCCTCTGCCCCAAAACCAGAGTGTTGTATGAGGTTCTCCAGGGCATGGGAATGCAGAAAGAGAGGGGCTGTGGGTGGAAGAGTGGGGCAGGAGGAGGCATACAGGCCTTGGGATGACAACAGTGGACACTAATAATGGGAATTTAATCCACATTTATGAGGCAGGGCGGGTGAGCCTCAAAAGTGGGGCCTAACTTGGGAGGGTTCTTGGCTTCACTCAGGAAAGAATTCAACAGCAAGCTGACAGTGGAGGAAAGTAGGTTTATTGAAGCAGCAGTGTACAGCAGAGTGGCTGCTTTTTCAGGAGCAAGGCTAACCCATAGGCTGTTGGGTAGCTGTATTTATACCCACTTTTTAATTGCAAGGAAATTAAGGAGCAAGTTATCCAGAAACCTTTAGAAAATAGGTGTTAACTTCTGGTGTTGCCATGGCATTTGTAAACTGTCATGGCGCTGGTGGGAGTGTCTTTATTTTTTATTTTTGTGGGTACATAGTGTATATATTTAAGGGGTAAATGAGATACTTTGATACAGACATGCGATGTGTAATAATTACATCATTGTAAATGAGGTATCCATCCCCTCAAACATGTATCCTTTGTGTTACAAACTAATTATACTCTTTATTTTAAAATGTACAATTAAGTTATTATTGACTATAAGGCGGGGGGTAGTGGCTCATCCCTGTAATTCTAGAACTTTGGGAGGCCAAGGCAGGTGGATCTCTTGAGCTCAGGGGTTTTGAGACTAGCTTGGGTAATGGCAAAGCCCTGTCTCTACAAAAAATAAAAATAAAAAACTAGCCAAGTGTGATGGTGTACACCTGTAGTCCCAGCTATTTGGGAGGATCACCTGAGCCCAGAGAGGTCGAGGCTGCGGTGAGCCATGATTGCACCACTGTATTCCAGCCTGGGTGACAGAGTGAGACCCATCTCAAAAAAAAAAATAAAAAATAAAAATAAAAATTATTATTGACTATATATAGTCAGTCTGTTGTGCTATCAAGTACTTGGTCTTATTCGTTCTTTCTGATTACTTTTTATACCCATTTACGATCCCCACTTGTCCCCCAAGCCCTCCACTACCCTTCCAAGCCTTTGGTAAACATCCTTCTACTCTCTACCTCCATGAGTTCAATTGTTCTAATTTTTGACTCCCCCAAATAAGTGAGAACATGCGAAGTTTGCATTTCTACACCTGGCTTATTTTACTTAATGACCTCCAGTTCCATCCATGCTGTTGCAAATAACAGGATCTCATTCTTTTTATGGCCAAATAGTACTGTGTTGTGTATACGGACAACATTTTCTTATCTATTCATCCACTGATGGACACTTAGGTTGCTTCCATATCTTGGCTATTGTGAACAGGGCTGCAACAATCATAGGAGTTCAGATATCTCTTTTATATACTGGTTTCCTTTCTTTTGGGTCTATACCTAGCAGTGGGATTGCTGGATCATATAGTAGCTCTATTTTTAGCTTTTTGAGGAAACTCCAAACTGTTCTCCATAGTGGTTGTACTAATTTACATTCCCACCAACAGTGTACGAGGCTTCCCTTTTCTCCACATCCTCACCAGTATTTGCTTTTGTCTGTCTTTTGGATTTAAGAGATTTTAACTGAAGTGACATGATGTCTCATTATAGTTTTGATGTGCATTTCTCTGATGATCAATGATGTTGACCACCTTTTCATATGCCTGTTTGCCATTTGTGTGTCTTCTTTTAAGAAATGTCTATTCAGATCTTTTGCCCATTTTTAAACATATTTTAGATTTTTTTCCTATAAAGTTGTTTGAACTCCTTATATATTCTGGTCAGATGGGTAGTTTGAAAATATTTTCTCCCATTCTGTGGGTTGTCTCTTCACTTTGTTGATTGTTTACTTTGTCATGCAGAAGCTTTTTAACTTGATGTAATCCCATTTGTCCATTTTTGCTTTGGTTGCCTGTGCTTGTGGGATATTAGTCAAATTTTTGCCCAGACCAATGTCCCAGAGAGTTTCACCAATGTTTTCTTGTAGTAGTTTCACAGTTTGAGGTCGTAAATATAAGTCTTTAACCTACTTTGATTTGATTTATGTATTTGGCAAGAGATAGGAAATAGGAGTCTAGTTTCATTCTGTGTATGGATATCCCATTTTCCCAGCACCATTTATTGAAGAGACTCCTCAGTGTATGTTCTTGGCACCTTTGTTGAAAATGAGTTCACTGTTGGTGTATGGACTTGTTTCTGGGTTCTCTACTCTGTTCCATTGGTCTGTGTGTCTATTTTCATTCCAGCACCATGCTGTTTTGTTACTATAGCTCTGTAGTATGATTTGAAGCCAGGTAATATGAGTGTGAGTGCCGATGAGCAGTGAGGGCAACCAGAGGTTACCTTCAGTGCCATATGCTGGTTCTAGCCAGTTTCCTTATTTCATCCTGTTGGGACCAGGAAATAAGTCCTGCCAGTCTGCTACCTCACTATGAAGGGCCACATGGAAGATGGCAACCATCTTTTCATCTTTCCTTCTTTTGGTTCTCCTTTAACCACAGCAGGAAGGCCTGTTCAACTGTTCCAAGAAATGGTAGCCAGAGAATGGCAGAGAAAGTGAGGAGGGGATACAAGTGGCGATTGTGATCAGCAACTAGGGTGTTAGGAAAAAAACCACAGCAAAAAGGGGATTCGGCTATGGTGTGCTGGTAAACTCCCTCACATTACCTGACTTCAGATCATACTACAGAACTATAGCAACAAAACAGCATGGTACTGGCATAAAACCAGACATATAGACCAATGGAATATGTTTAACTGGCTATCCCACACCAAACACACACACCAAGAGATGTAGTATTTGCCAGTTTCTGTGGTGTAAATACTCCCAGCAAGGGACAAGCTACCAACCTGATTTTCCTGACTGTGCGGTTGTACAACCAGGAAAATTTGTACAGTTGTCCAGTTGCATACCATTTCAGTATTTCCATCTTATAGACAAGAGATGTAGATAAAGACTAAGCATAGATAATAGTAAAATGTAGCACAATGATTAGGAAATTAAGAATTTTGAGCATTTATTAATTTTGTTAAGTATATTTTATTTAATTGTAAGTTTGCATGATTCAATTTTTCATAAAGGCAGTGTTGAACAACAGGCTCACAAAATTTCTGAAAATTTAGAAATACGCTCCTGAGAGCTGGTAAAAGCTGTCTCAGCACACCAGTAGAGTTAGCTGTATGCCTTCAGCCCAAAAATGAGAGGCACATAGCGTATATTCCATTCCCCCTTCCTCTCCAGCCTGTGGGGGGTTAATGAAGTGGCAGTTATGATGACCTGACCCTCTCCTCCCCCAACATGTCCAGGCTACCCTCCTCTGCCCTCCTGAGTCATTATTGAAGGAGGAGGGCAGTTTTTTATTGATCTCTTCCTTCACCTTCAGAGTAAGCTCTGTGATCCAGTATTGAGTACAGCTTCTATAAACACTCGTACCGTGTGTTTATTGTGACACCTGGAATATCATGAAGGCAGCTCCTATTAGACACTGAATGCTAAGATAAACAACCAGTCTTGTCTAGTTGGAACCAAGCAGACCTCGTGAATATAGTCTTATAAATTTTACAACACCCGTGAAATATTGCTCTTGAAGTAGGAACATTACAGAGATGGTTAAACCAGACCCCTAATTCCCTCGAGGACTATTTTTATAGCTATTAATCTCGTATCAGGCACAATTTACAGCCATAATAGCTATTTCTTTGCTGGCATATATGTACATAAACAAACCAGTATGAAAGAGAAGATACAATTAAAGCAATGGATTTCTATGTGCACTTCGGATAGAGAACATAGATGACTCACTTCTCTCAAAAATGATTCTTTTGTATAATTTTGACTTCATTAAATTCTGCAAAGAGAATTTTGAAAACAGCAATCACAAATTCCCCAAAGCCCGAAGTAACTGATACCACAATAAAGAGAGAAAGCATCACACTGGAATGGCTAAGATAAATGTCTGAGAATCCCTTTAAATGCCGGAAGTCATAGCCCACCAGTACTTGTCTGTGGGGACCGGGGGGATTTATGTACTGAAGCTAAATAAAACATAAAACATTATGGTGTATATTTTCTAGCATCTAGACTGTTTGCCCCATATAAAAGTTTATTGATACCTTCAGGGATTCAGATAAATGTTGCAAATTCTCAAGTTCTACTGCTTGTGCTGCAGATACACTTTATTTCAAAGTTACAAGTTTTTTGCAGTATTTGTTTATTGGGTCATAGACTCTCCTATTTCTATTTGGGGACATATGAATATTTCCACAAGCTTCTATATGAGCCAGGTTACATTGAGACCATCATTTAAAAAAATAAGATGTTGTAGTGTCTAGCACCAAGCTTGCAAATACTGACTCTTTAATACGAGTTTCTAGGAGAGAGGAGGGGCCAATGGACAGAATTGGACCTATAGTAGTTCTAGAGAAGACTGGTTAAATGGATTTCTTAGTTTTTATCCATATTTATTCACCCAGAGTCAGGGCTTTTTCTGCTTTGATTACAAATGTAACATCTAAGACCATAGCCACAGAGGCCATGTCTGTGCGTGGATTCATTCTGGAACCATTGGTTCCTTCCAGAAGAAATCATTGCTTCCTTCCAGAAGAAATCATTGCTTCCGTGTTGAGCCATGCTAGAGCTGGTGTATATTTTGAAAGGGAATCAATGAGCTGAGCAGGAGAAACCTTTCTGTTTCCAATCCCCCTGTCTGAACTGTGGCAGTACAGACTGAAGGGGAGGGGGAGGTACTTAGATACTGAGGCGCTTCAGCCTTGCGCATACACCTCCTTCTTTCCTCCTGCCTCTCAACACAGCACAGGTGTCACCTCCGTCTCTCATCTCCAAGATTTCTCCCTCTTCAAAAATCTCATAACATGGTGCCACTAGGATACCCAGTTTATAGACTGATTTCTTAAAGCTGTATATTTTTATCCTGGTGTCTGTTTGCAGAATACCATCAAGTTCAGCCACTCACTAACTGTGTGACTTTGAGCAAGTTTCTTAACCTCTCTGAGCCTTGGTTTTCATTATAAAATGGGGCTGAGAAAACACCTTGGAGGAGTTTTGTGAGGATGACATAGACAATTGGTGTCAAGTGCACAGTGACTGCCATGTGGCTTTCTTTTCATAAAGGTAGTTGTTAAAATAACTGCTGTAATTTTTAACACATTTAAATAGACCTTCATAAACGTGAATTTGCTTGTGAAATCAGTCCCCAGACTAATAGATTATTAGCACCCCAGAAGCCCTTTCCTATCCTTTCTAGCCACTAACTACCTCTCTCCCAAGGAAAACCACTTATGTGATTTCAACATCATGGATTAGTTTTTGAACTGTATGAAAATAAAATCAAATTGCTTGCATGCTGTCTTTCTTCCACTCAGCATTATGTTTGTGAGAGGCGTCCATGCTGTTGCATGCAGTTGTAGTTAGTTCTTTGTCATTGCCGTATAATATTTTATGTTATAATATGCAATTTATCCTTTCTAACTCTACAGGTGTTTGGATTGCATTCAGCTCCTGGGAATTACACCATTCTGCCATGAATACCCTTGTGTATGCATTCTAGGAAACCCGTGTGGTGCATTCTGAGAGGACAGATGGCTGGGTCACTGGGCACACTCTGCCCGAGTAGATGTTCTGTCAACACTTGCCATCAGGAAACATGCCCCACTTCTCATGCCTGAAGCACACCCAGAAGTTATATTGAGCAATTATTTATAAATTGATCCTGATACTGAAAAAAAGGCACATTTGAAAAGCAAAGAGAGAAGCATTTGTAAATTATTTTACCAGAAAATAAAAGTTTTTCTTAATAATAAAATACATTATTTACTCTGGAGCCATTTTAGATGATGATGTAGATTAGAGGTTGGCAAACTATGGCCCTTGGGCCAAAGGTGGCATGCGGGCTGTTTTGTAAATAAAGTTTTATTAGAACACAGACACAACCATTCGTTACACAGTATCTGTGGCTGCATTTACACTACTGTGACAGAGTTGTGTAGTTGCAAGACCATGGGACCCACAAAGTCTAAATTATTTGCTATCCGGCTATTTAAAGAAAAAGTTTGCTGAAACTTGATATAAGAATATTTAAAAAGGTATGAGAAAGATAATTCTGAGCTCTTCCATGCCCTGGGCAATGTCCTCAATTCCATGCATGCTCCTTTATTCTTCACTACAAGGCAGGTACTCACTTTGCTCTCATTTCTCAGTGATTATCTCTAGGTGGTGAGAAATTGTTACTTCGTCCAAAGATTTTATAAATGATCATATATCTTTGACATCATAAAAAAATAAACAAGACCAAAAAAAGTTACAGAAAAAACATATAAAATATGGCAGTTAGACAAAAGGGAGCTGGCCAGCCAAGAAAGTCCGGAAAAATGACAACGAGAGAGGCTCCTGCTGGCAAGGGGCCTCTATCCTTGCTCAGGGGAGAGAGGCCTGGTCCAAGCCACTCTGCAGCTGGCATGCCCTACAGGAAGAGCGGAAAGTCAGGTAGTCATAGATGAGTGACTTCTGCGTGGAGAGTCATCCAAATCCCTTCTGCTCCTCAGACAATAAAAGATCCTAGTTTTAATTTAGTTTCCCCTGTAAATTTGCCTGCAGGGGTAGAATAAACTGAACAGCAAACATCAGAATCCAATCTGCTTGATGGTTTTATTTCTCAATATGGATGAATAAATTGACACTTTGTTTTCTACCAAATCATTGTATATTCTAAATAAGTGCTTTTGTTCTTGTTTAATAGTCAGTGGGACTGGGGCCAACACAGGACATACAGAATGCATATTTCCTTTCCTCTGGTCTAAGCCCTTCACGCGCGCGTGCGTGTGTGTGTGTGCATGTGTGTACTTGTATGCTTAAGAAATGAGATGTTGTTATCATAACTTTATATATAAAACCTGCTATGTACTCTTTTGCCTCCTTTTCTATTGAATCTAAATCTTAAACAATCAGCTTATGTAAAATTTACCTTCTATATTAGGCAGGGTTCTCTAGAGAAACACAATCAATAGGAGATTATCTATGATTGATGATCAATCAATCAATCTATCTATCTGGTTATAGAATACATGTAGATAAAAAATGGCATTCATTATAAGTTATTGGCTCATGAGTTTATGTGGCTGAGAAGTTCCAAGATCTATAGTCGCAAGCCAAATCTCCAGGAAAGCTGATAGGATACTCCCAGTCTGAGTCCAAAGGCCTGAGAGCCAGGAAAGTGGATGGTGTAAGTTCCAGTCTGAAAGCCAGCAGGCTCAAGACCCAAGAAGTGCCAGTGTTTTAAACTAAGTTCAAAGGCTGAAAAAGACCAGTATCCCAGCTCAATCAATTAGACAGGAGGAATTCTCTCTTACTTAGCTGTTTTGTTCTATTCTGGTCTTCAACTTATTGATGGGACCCACCCACATTAGGGAGGGCAATCTGCTTTACTCAGTCTACTGAATCAAATGCTAATCTCATCCAGAAACACCCTCATAGACACATGGGAATAATGGTCAGCCCAATGTCTGGGCACCCCGTGGTCCAGTCAAGTTGATGCATAAAATTAGCCATTATGCCTCTCTAAATTGTACTGTAGCCAGAATATATACTTACTCCAATTGACCACTTCCATTTTGACTGATTAGGCAGGAGTGACAGCCTCAATTTTGTAGTTGGGTTTGTATTCTAAATCTAGGCTGTGGTGATATCACATAACCCTTTTGCCTCTGGAATGTCTTAGATAAATTTTTGCACAGAAAAGAAAAAACAAAAGTTTACTGTTTCTCAAAGCTTATTAGTGAAAATACCTTCTATACTTTTCTGAGGAGGAACATGTGAGCCCAGACATTGACAGGCAACTTCTCGGTCATGCAAATAACTCAGGTCCTTGAGATGGCGTCTTAGGCAGGTTTCCTAGAAGCAGGACCTGAGACAAGGATTCAGGTGCATGTGACTTATTGAGCTTGTGGTATCTGGGGAAGGGATGGGGAAGTAAGATAGGACCGAGGAGGAGGGTGATGGTCTAAATATTCGTGTCCTTCTAAAATTCACATGTTAAAAAAGTAATTGCCAGAGTGATGGTAGCAGGAGGTGGGGCCATCGGAAATGAGATTAGTGCCCTCATAAAATAGCCCCAAGCAAGCTTGTCCACTTCTTCCACCATATGAGGACACAGAGAAGGCACCACCTATGATAAAGTGGGCCCTTAC
Source organism: Homo sapiens (assembly GCF_000001405.40). Lineage (NCBI taxonomy): Eukaryota > Metazoa > Chordata > Mammalia > Primates > Hominidae > Homo > Homo sapiens. The sequence continues at coordinate 232,235,545 of NC_000001.11, read as the reverse complement.
CAGACACTGAGTATGCCAGTACCTTGATCTTGGCTCTCCAAGCCTCCAGACTGTGAGCAATGAATTTCTGTTGTTTATAAACCCCCCAGCCTATGACATTTTATTATAGCAGCCAGAATAGACTATGACAAGGAGTTAAGGAAAGATATAGTCTCAGCAGGAGACTACCAACAGCCTGATCCTACAGGAAGCTCTGGAGCAAGAATTGCACCATAAAATTGGTTCTACTTTGACTAGGGAGATTGGTCTTTTGGAACCTGCTCCTCCATCAGCCTGTCATTCCCTAAAGATGAATGAGGGTGGAATGTAGGAAGGTGTAATCTCCTGGGCTAGGGGTTCCCATTTTTCCATGGCCATTCTTTAGAGAAGGGACAGCTTTCAGCCATTAGCAGGCAACACTCACAGCATTTGAGGGATGGGTGACAGCCAGGAAAGGGATCTGGATGAAGCAGAAATAGCTTCCCCTGCACAGGGGGGAAATGTAACCTATCTGAGCGATTGTGGGTCAGAGTCTCTCTGATAACATCTTGGAGGTCGTATCTTCACTGTCAGGCCTCTGAGCCCAAGACAAGCCATCGCATCCCCTGTGACTTGCACGTATATGCCCAGATGGCCTGAAGTAACTGAAGAATCACAAAAGAAGTGAAAATGCCCTGCCCCACCTTAACTGATGACATTCCAACACAAAAGAAGTGTAAATGGCTGGTCCTTGCCTTAAGTGATGACATTACCTTGTGAAAGTCCTTTTCCTGGCTCATCCTGGCTCAAAAACCACCCTCACTGAGCACCTTGCGACCCCCACTCCTGCCCGCCAGAGAACAAACCCCCTTTGACTGTAATTTTCCTTTACCTACCCAAATCCTATAAAACAGCCCCATCCTTATCTCCCTTCGCTGACTCTCTTTTTGGACTCAGCCTGCCTGCACCCAGGTGAAATAAACAGCCATGTTGCTCACACAAAGCCTGTTTGGTGTCTCTTCACACGGACGCGCATGAAATTTGGTGCTGTGACTCGGATCGGGGGACCTCCCTTGGGAGATCAGTCCCCTGTCCTCCTGTTCTTTGCTCCATGAGAAAGATCCACCTATGACCTCAGGTCCTCAGACCGATCAGCCCAAGGAACATCTCACCAATTTTAAATCAGGTAAGCGGCCTCTTCTTACTCTCTTCTCCAACCTTTCTCATTGTCCCTCAACCACTTTCTCCTTTCCACTCTTCAATCTCTCCCTTCTCTTAATTTCAATTCCTTTCATTTTCTGGGAGAGACAAAGGAGACACGTTTTATCCGTGGACTCAAAACTCTGGTGCCGGTCACGGACTGGGAAGGCAGCCTTCCCTTGGTGTTTAATCATTGCAGGGACGCCTCTCTGATTATACACCCACGTTTCAAGGGTGTCAGACCACTCAGGGAAGCCTGTCTTGGTCCTTCACCCTTAGCTGCAAGTCCCGCTTTTCCGGGAAAGGGGCAAGTACCTCAACCCCTTCTCTCCTTGTCTCTACCCCTTCTCTGCTTTTCTGGGAGAGGGGCAAGTATCCCTCAACCCCTTCTCCTTCACCCTTAGTGGCAAGTCCTGCTTTTCTATGGAGCAAGAACCCCCAATCCCTTATTTCCATGCCCCAACCTCTTATCTCTGTGCCCCAATCCCTTATTTCCACGCCCCAACCTCTTATCTCTGTGCCCTAATCCCTTATTTCTGTGCCCCAACCTCTTATATCTCTGCGCCCCAATCCCTTATTTCCACGCCCCGACCTCTTATCTCTGCGCCCCAACCCCTTTTCCCACTTTTCTGGAAGGTAAGAACCCCCAAACCCCTTCCCTCCATTTCTCTACTCTCTCTTTTCTCTAGGCTTGCTTCCTTCACTATGGGCAACATTCCACCCTCCATTCCTCCTTCTACTCCCTTGGCCTCTGTTCTCAAAAACTTAAAACCTCTTCAACTCACACCTGACCTAAAACCTAAATGCCTTATTTTTTTCTGCAATGCCACTTGACCCCAATACAAACTTGACAGTAGTTCCAAATAGCCAGAAAATGGCACTTTGAATTTTTCCATCCTGCAAAATCTAAATAATTCTTGTCATAAAATAGGCAAACGGTCTGAGGTGCCTGATGTCCAGGCATTCTTTTACACATCAGTCCCTTCCTAGTCTCTGTGCCCAGTGCAACTTGTCCCAAACCTTCCTTCTTTCCCTCCCACCTGTCTCCTCAGTACCAACCCCAAGCATCGCTGAGTCTTTCTAATCTCCCTTTTCTACAGACCTATCTGACCTGTCCCTTCCTCCCCAGGCTGCTCCTCTCCAGGCCGAGCTAGGTCCCAATTCTTCCTCAGCCTCCGCTCCTCCACCCTATAATCTTTTTATCACCTCCCCTCCTCACACCTGCTCCGGCTTACAGTTTCGTTCCGTGACTAGCCCTCCCCCACCTGCCCAGCAATTTACTCTTAAAAAGGTGGCTAGAGCTAAAGGCATAGTCAAGGTTAATGCTCCTTTTTCTTTATCCCAAATCAGATAGCGTTTAGGCTCTTTTTCATCAAATATAAAAACCTAGCCCAGTTCATGGCTCGTTTGGCAGCAACCCTGAGACACTTTACAGCCCTGGACCCTAAAAGGTCAAAAGGCCGTCTTATTCTCAATATACATTTTATTACCCAATCTGCTCCCGACATTAAATAAAACTCCAAAAATTAGAATCTGGCCCTCAAACCCCACAACAGGACTTAATTAACCCACCTTCAAGGTGTACAATAATAGAAAATGTTGCAATTCCTTGCCTCCACTGTGAGACAAACCCCAGCCACATCTCCAGCACACAAGAACTTCCAAACGCCTGAACCGCAGCGGCCAGGCGTTCCTTCAGAACCTCCTCCCACAGGAGCTTGCTACAAGTGCCAGAAATCTGGCCACTGGGCCAAGGAATGCCCGCAGCCCAGGATTCCTCCTAAGCCGCGTCCCATCTATGTGGGACCCCACTGAAAATCGGACTGTTCAACTCACCTGGCAGCCACTCCCAGAGCCCCGGGAACTCTGGCCCAGGGCTCTCTGACTGACTCCTCCTCTTGTATCCCTTAACCCACAAGTATAAGATACCTCTACTCCCTCCTTGGTGACCGATCATGCACCCCTTACCATCTCATTAAAACCTAATCACCCTTACCCCACTCAACGCCAATATCCCATCCCGCAGCACGCTTTAAAAAGATTAAAGCCTGTTATCGCTTGCCTGCTACAGCATGGCCTTTTAAAGCCTATAAACTCTCCTTACAATTCCCCCATTTTACCTGTCCTAAAACCAGACAAGCCTTACAAGTTAGTTCAGGATCTGCACCTTATCAACCAAATTGTTTTGCCTATCCACCCCGTGGTGCCAAACCCATATACTCTCCTATCCTCAATACCTCCCTCCACAGCCCATTATTCTGTTCTGGATCTCAAACATGCTTTCTTTACTATTCCTTTGCACCCTTCATCCCAGCCTCTCTTTGCTTTCACTTAGACTGACCCTGACACCCATCAAGCTCAGCAAATTACCTAGGCTGTACTGCCGCAAAGCTTCACAGACAGCCCCCATTACTTCAATCAAGCCCAAATTTCTTCCTCATCTGTTACCTATCTCGGCATAATTCTCATAAAAACACACGTGCTCTCCCTGCCAATCGTGTCCGACTGATCTCTCAAACCCCAGCACCTTCTACAAAACAACAACTCCTTTCCTTCCTAGGCATGGTTAGGGCGGTCAGAATTCTTACACAAGAGCCGGGACCACACCCTGTAGCCTTTCTGTCCAAACAACTTGAACTTACTGTTTTAGCCTAGCCCTCATGTCTGCGTGCAGCGGCTGCCGCTGCTTTAATACTTTTAGAGGCCCTCAAAATCACAAACTATGCTCAACTCACTCTCTACAGTTCTCATAACTTCCAAAATCTATTTTCTTCCTCACACCTGACACATATACTTTCTGCTTCCCGGCTCCTTCAGCTGTGCTCACTCTTTGTTGAGTCTCCCACAATTACCGTTGTTCCTGGCCCAGACTTCAATCTGGCCTCCCACATTATTCCTGATACCACACCTGACCCCCATGACTGTATCTCTCTGATCCACCTGACATTCACCCCATTTCCCCAAATTTCCTTCTTTCCTGTTCCTCACCCTGATCACGCTTGATTTATTGCTGGCGGTTCCACCAGGCCTAATCGCCACTCACCAGCAAAGGCAGGTTATACTATAGTACAAGCCACTAGCCCGCCTCTTAGAACCTCTCATTTCCTTTCCATCGTGGAAATCTATCCTCAAGGAAATAACTTCTCAGTGTTCCATCTGCTATTCTACTACTCCTCAGGGATTCTTCAGGCCCCCTCCCTTCCCTACACATCAAGCTCGAGGATTTGCCCCCACCCTGGACTGGCAGATTAGCTTTACTCAATATGCCCTGAGTCAGATAACTAAAATACCTCTTAGTCTAGGTAGATACTTTCACTGGATAGGTAGAGGCCTTTCCTACAGGGTCTGAGAAGGCCACAGCAGTCATTTCTTCCCTTCTGTCAGACATAATTCCTCAGTTTAGCCTTCCCACCTCAATACAGTCTGATAACAGACGAGCCTTTATTAGTCAAATCAGCCAAGCAGTTTTTCAGGCTCTTAGTATTCAGTGAAACCTTTATATCCCTTACGGTCCTCCATCTTCAAGAAAAGTAGAACGGACTAAAGGTCTTTTAAAAACACACCTCACCAAGCTCAGCCACCAACTTAAAAAGGACTAGACAATACTTTTACCACTTTCCCTTCTCAGAATTCAGGCCTGTCCTCGGAATGCTACAGGGTACAGCCCATTTAAGCTCCTGTATAGTTGCTCCTTTTTATTAGGCCCCAGTCTCATTCCAGACACCAGACCAACTTAGACTGTGCCCCAAAAAACTTGTCATCCCTACTATCTTCTATCTAGTCATACTCTCCTATTCACCGTTCTCAACTACTCATACATGCCCTGCTCTTGTTTACACTGCCGGTTTACACTGTGTTTCCAAGCCGTCACAGCTGATATCTCCTGGTGCTATCCCCAGACTGCCACTCTTAACTCTTGAAGTAAATAAATAATCTTTGCTGGCAGGACTATGCTGAATCTCTTTAGGCACTCTCTAATCAGATATCCTGAGTCGTCCCAATTCTTAGACCTTTTATACCTATTTTTCTCCTTCTGTTATTCCATTTAGTTTCTCAATTCATCCAAAACCTTATCCAGGCCATCGCCAATCATTCTATACGACAAATGTTTCTTCTAACATCCCCACAATATCACCCCTTACCACAAGACCTCCCTTCAGCTTAATCTCTCCCACTCTAGGTTCCCACGCCGCCCCTAATCCCGCTTGAAGCAGCCCTGAGAAACATCGCCCATTCTCTCTCCATACCACCCCCCAAAAATTTTCGCCACCCCAACACTTCAACACTATTTTGTTTTATTCTTCTTATAAATATAAGAAGGCAGGAATGTCAGGCCTCTGAGCCCAAGACAAGCCATCGCATCCCCTGTGACTTGCACGTATACGCCCAGATGGCCTGAAGTAACTGAAGAATCACAAAAGAAGTGAAAAGGCCCTGCCCCGCCTTAACTGATGACATTCCACCATTGTGATTTGTTCCTGCCCCACCTTAACTGCGTGATTAACCCTGTGAATCTCCTTCTCCTGGCTCAGAAGCTCCCCCACTGAGCACCTTGTGACCCCCGCCCCTGCCCACCAGAGAACAACCCCCTTTGACTGTAATTTTCCTTTACCTACCCAAATCCTATAAAACAGCCCCACCCTTATCTCCCTTCACTGACTCTCTTTTTGGACTCAGCCCGCCTGCACCCAGGTGAAATAAACAGCCATGTTGCTCACACAAAGCCTGTTTGGTGGTCTCTTCACACGGACGCGCATGAAATTCACATATTGTGTTAATCCATTCTTACACTGCTATAAAGAAACCACCTGAGACTGGGTAGTTTAGAAACAAAGGAGATTTGATTGACTCACAGTTCCACATGGCTGGGAAGGCCTCAGGAAACTTACAATCACAGCAGAAGGGGAAGCAGGCACCTTCTTCACAAGGCAGAAGGAGAGAGAGTATGTGCAAAGGAGGAATCGTCAAACACTTATAAAACCATCAAATCTCGTGAGAACTCACTCACTATCACGAGAACAGCAAGAGGGAGCTGCCCCCATGATCCAATCACCTCCCACTAGGTCCCTCCCTTGACACATGGGGAATATGGGGATTAAAGTTTGATATAAGATTTGGGTGGAGACACAGAGCCAAACCACATCACACACTATCATACATTACAAAATAAAGAACAACAACAAAAAAAGTGTTTGGTTTTTAGAATAACTGGAATCTGGATTGTATGTTTATAATTTAAAAAAAAAGTCTTTCAGGAAAGATGTGTGTGTGTGTGTGTGTGTGTGTGTGTGTGTGTAGTGAAAAAAAAATCCTTTCCTCTGCCATATTTAAATTTACTATTATAAAATAAAATGTGTCCCTTGTCAACGTGAGAATTGTAGACATGAGAATTAAAATTGTATCCTAAATCCATTTGGGCATTGATGGCATGTAGGAATTCATTATGAGAACTAACTCTCAATCCACAGTATAAATATAAAGACTCACCCATGGGTAAGTCTGCAATTACATGAGACTCATCTATTTTCTAGGAATTTCATTAATGATATTAACGAAAAATATCAACTTTGGCACTATGTTTGCATTAAAATTTCCTCTTTCTGAACTTGTCTTTGAGCATCATAATTATAAATATGTAGATCTGGTGCTGCCTGATCCATTAGGCATACAGCATGTGGTTATTTAAATAGAAATTAAATAATTAATTATTAATTATTCAAAATGAAATAAAATTAAGAATTGAGATACTCGATCACATAAAACACAATTTCAGTGCTTAGTATTTCTCTGTATCTTGTGACTACCTGATTTATGTGCACTGCAGAAAATTTTTATATTTATGTTCACTGCAGAAAATTCTATTGTTTAATGTTTATACAGACATTCAGAAACCTGAAATGAATAGTCTTTTAAAAGTATAAAATATTTGTAAATAATTGTGCTTCAAATTTCTTATCTTACACATTTTTAGAGTTATCATTGCCATCATTATCGTTGTTAGATTTTTTTTTTTAATGACAGCTATGTAAATAGAAAGGATATGTACTTTGGAGCTGAGTAGCCCTGGGTTCAAATTTACCTACTATCCATCAATTGGGTAAGTCAATTAATATTGCTGAGTCTCAGTTTCCCCTACTGTAAAATGGGGAGAATACTTTGAAATTACTTTGAAAAAGCTTCATGGAAATTAGATACATTAGTGCCTCTAAAAAATCCAGCCTGATGTTTGGCACTTGGTAGTGACCTTATGATAATTATTATGGTTTTCTTTCTTAAAAAAAAAAAAGTTTGCTCTCTGCAGGCATGTTTTCATGAAATTTCTAGCTTACAGCATTAGAATTTCCCCCATTCATTTTGATATATTTGTTAATTATCCCATTTGCACGTGCCTGAAATCATTTTTAAGTTATGTTATTCTCTGGTTTCTCTTCAGACCATATGAATCTTTCGCCTTATAACTGTTTTGACAGTGGCAAATGAGTTGATTTCCTTCTTCATTCTCCTCTTTTTGGTTAAGCTTCTAAGATACGTTACTGAAAAGGAATTAGAAGAAATTAAACTAAACCTAGATTTCAGTATTCAATATGAAAGACAGAGTGGTTATAAATCTGGACCAAAGCCTATTGCTACTGTAGTTAAGAGACTAATCTCTCTCTGCGAAGATCCTTGAGAATCATTTATAGAAGAGCCTTTTGAGATGCTTTGAAACATCAGAAGGAAACTCATCCAAAAATGAGTTGGCTCAGGAGTGCCAATTAGTCCTGCATTTGATCTGTAGCAGATGACAGGCATTTCAGCCTGAAGAGCTACACACAGACCGCTGGGGGTAAGCCCTCTTCCCATCCGGAAAGTTGCCTAAGCCCCACTGAAAGGGCTGATGTTGAGTTCCAGGTTCTGCCTCCTTTGACCAAAACTCACTGAAGGACAATTCCTTAACTCTTAAAGATCCTGTGAGGGTAAGCATAGTTATGAAGAAGACAAAAGGCAGGTCCAACAATACAGCTTTTGGGCAGCTGGCCAGGAATTTAAAAGCTGCGATTTAAATAACTAAACAAAATTCTCCTGGGAGACCAGGAAGCTTAGAAAATACCCGGTCTCACTCTCCATTGACAAAACAGCAAATGTAGACCATGCCATTCCAAGTAAGGCAATTCCAGTCACTTCTGGGTTTTATTTATTTTTAATGTATTAATCTGGGTTTGTCCAGACAGCTGCCTTAGCCCCCAGTTTTGAATTTAAAAATCTACCCATGGATCCTCCAATCCACAACGACCCGATCCTGAATACCTCAAGGAGAAGAGACACGTACAGTCACCATAATTTTTATCCTTTATCTTAAAGAACTTATATTGGTGGATGAATTAGATGACAAATTTGAATAATATATTACTAATTTTTATTATTAATTATTAATATACTATTCACTATATATTATTCAATTATACATCTTTTATCTATTTCTATATATGTACACATATGCATATGTGTGTATTATTTTCTGGACAGTGGGTGTTTTTAGCTTTCATGGACAGTGATTTCCTTTCAGAAGTAGAAAATGCATATTTGGGATTTTCAGGTGGGGAATGCAATGTTCTGTCTCCAAAGCTGGTCCCTAGAGACAGGGAAACCCCCCCCCACAGGCCCTCCCTAACAAGAAAATGACCTCCCACTGAATATAATTTGCAGAGAAGCAGCTAAGCCTGAGCAGCAGGTACAGAGTGGTTCCCAGGCTGCTGCTGCTGTTGCTGATTACAAAAAAAAAAAAAAAAAAAAAAAAAAACACCAAACCATGCCTCTGCACAGATGTGTGACAGCTTTGGAAAGGAGTGCAGCTCCTGCCCACCTGCTGTGCTCCATTTCAGAACGGGGCTTTCATTTAAAAGTCAAAGCCTGGTTAGCTTTTTACCTGTGAACCTTATTGCATCAATTGCCACCCAGATTGCAAGTGTTTTGGTTGCGGGGAGAGAGGAGCCAGGAGAGGCCTCTCCCTTCTCTTCAATGAGGAGAGCTCACCGCTTCAGAATGGCAGGGCAGTCACAGCCCAAGGGCACTTTCTTAAACTGCTCAGCACCCCAGGCTCATAAACAAAAGCCTCTCGGCTAAACCACACAGACAGGAAGCGGAGCCATCATCCCTGCATTTGGCTCTGAGACAAATGACTCAATAAGGGACTCAAGCTATTAGAAAATCACTTGGGCTTAAATGAAAATTCAAATGAGAGAAATGAGGGCGAGATGTTAAAAATGGGTTTTAAAATGAAAAAAACAACTGGGGACCGAGAGAATGAAATAACAGACACAAAGCCCAAAGAGAAACCATATCAAACTGAGGACAGTAGAAATTTGGAGTCGCTGTCCTGGGCATGGTGATATTCGTGTTACAGAACCAATCCGGCATCCACTCGCCCGGTGCAATGAAACCAGGCGCTCACACGGAGGTTTCTGCCGTGATAGGAAGGCATTTACTGTAGGGCATCAAGCAAGGAGAATCAGGGCAGCTCAGGCTTATAGACCCAAACTCCCTAATGGCTTGCAGGTAAGGGTTTTTAAAGGAGGGGTAAATTTCAGGAGAGCTGACACTATTGGCAAAATGATCAATCAACACATTAAAGTTACGCATTGGTTTTGGACTAAAAGTGCGGATATCTTGAAGCACCGGCTTGCAAGGCAGAGGTAGATTTAAAGATCTTCTGATTTGCAATTGATTAAGGAAGAGAAGCTTTGTTTGAAAATTGTGGGTCAGTAGAAAAATGTTAGGGTAGTGACTGTCTCCAAGCCCCTTAGGAAGAACCTTAGAACAAAGAGCCATAGTTAAAGTTTAGTCTTCACTTCCCCCTCATCTGGGGTCTAAGTGCCAGTGGATCAGTCCTGTGGGGGTCCCAGCCTCTGAAAGACAACTCGGGGACATATGTTAAGATGTTATCTTTAATTTCCATAGGGAGAGCAAACATCTCTGGGACTCTAACTTCTTTAGCTATTGTTTTAGGCTACTTTTACCTTCTTGTTTAACAGGTTACTTATTTACTTCTCAGGGCTAGCTAGGTGCCTGGAATTTCCCGGGAAGGAACTCAGGATTTTCCTTTATTTCCATGCTTGGGGTCTGTAGGCCCCTAAAAGAGGGGGTCCCTCCTCTGTCTCACCCAGAGGTTTACAGGGATTGATTGGGTGATACAATTTGCTGGAGAGGGTCAGAGAAAACAAGATTATACTCAAAACAGTTGTATCACCACCTTAGTTATTATTCTCTCTCGTATAAATTATGAACATAGACTGCATTTCCCTGCCTCTAATCTGTCTCTCTCCTCTCTTTTCTTCCTTCTCTCCTACCTTTCTGCCTTCCATCTACTCACTCATAATCCATTCAAAAATATTATTGAGCATCTACTACATATCAGGCATTTTTCTAGACCCTGGAGAAACAGTATTGATTGAAACTCATGGAGCTTACATTTTAGCAGGGGAGACAGACACACACAAGGTAAAGAAATAAACTACATAACATGTAAGGTGATGATAAGTAAAAGGGAGGAGGATGGAATGCAGGATGAGGCAGATTCTAGACAAATAAAAAAAAACAGTGCCCTTTTCCTGCAGGATATAGTTTGGCCTTCATGCTCAGTCAAAGCACCCTTCCTCTAGGGAATGCAATCCACACTTGGACATTCCTTGGCAAGTGGAGCAAGGGCTCCATTCAGAACCTGCTTGCTCCTTGGATCAGGTGCCATGATGCTCTGCAGCCCAGCTATGAAGTGGGGAGTTCATGTGTGTGCCTGTGTGTGTGTGTGTGTGTGTGTGTGTGTGATGCAAAGCTCTATTTACTCCAATACTGATGGCACAGTGTTCAAAAGACCAAAAAACAAACCTGGAGCCAGCAAACAAGACATAAGATTTATTGAGGACTTATACACAGGGTCATCCAGAGGTGGTGGGCTGGACAGGAAAACTGCTACTGTTTATAAAAAGCATGCAGTTTATATAGCATTTTCACTTATCAACCTCTGCCTAGCAGCCTCCATTTCAACCAAAACAAAGGGCCTTGATCCGCTGTACAGCCTGCATTCCAAGGGATGGGCCAGGGGCTAGGATGTTCTTCATAGATAAGGAGTGAATCTCTAGGTTGGCCACTCTTGGATTTCGTAGCTTGGAACTACAAACACACATACGTCTCAGATCAGAGGGTCATTCTTAGGATATGCTTAAGTTATTGCTGTTCAGTGCTTCTGCCATACAGTGTGATTTTACGGAAAGCGGCCAGGGCAGTCCTCCCTAGGGAGGTGACACTTGAGTGAGGACCTGAAGGAGGGAGGTAGCAGTGCTGTGATAGGTGAGGGAAGAGCAGGAAGGGCAAGTGCAACAATATGAGGAGAGAGCCTGGCGATGGGTTGCAGAAAGGGCAGGGGGTCAGGTGGCTATGTGAGCGTGACCAGTGTGGAGGGAGCGAGGAGAGGGCAGTGGGGGGACAGGGTTAAGGGAGGTTGCACAGGGATTAAGGCTGTAGAAAAAACATTAGCCTTCATGACCACAAGGGAGGCATCCTCAGAGGCCTTGGCAATCACACCTAACACATTTTGTCAGGATCTCTCTGGCTGCTGATTTGAGGCTCGGTTAAAGTGGGGCAAAGGTGAATGCATGAGGCCCAGTTAGAAGGCTACTGCATCATCCAAGCAAGAGATGCCCAGTATGGGTCTTATCTAATTCATCTGCAGTCAGCATAATCTTTCTGAAGCCCAGTTTGATATGTTTCTTCTTAGTAAAGAATCCTTCAGTGGCTCCCCAGTGCCCATACAATTGTCAACTGAAAAATGATGAGGTTCATAAATTTAGAAAAGGGAGCTTTATTTCTCATAAAGGGTTGCAGCCTGCAGGTGGCCATTCTGGCAGACTGGGAAATGTAGCCTCTGGCCAGAAGCCAGAAGCCAGAAGCCAGAAATAGGCACTCTGAGGGAGGGGCAAAGGGAAAAAAAAATTATGTTGAATGGAGTGGTCAAATATACATATTCAATAGGCTATGGGAGGGATCATGAATATTCATGAAAAGAGAAACATGCACATGTGCAGTGGAGCTTCAGGCCCCTTCATTCGTCCTATGTACAAATAATGGTGGCGTTAGCATGACCTGGGGTTGAAGGTGTCAGCCCTCTGACATCAAAAGGTAAAGCAGAGGATGTGAAATTCTCTGTAGATTGGTCATAACCACTGGGTGGCTGATGGGCTCTTATTTATTTATTTGTTTATTTTTTTTCAGATAGGTATCACTATGTTGCCCAGGCTGGAGTGCAGTTGCTTTTCACAGGCACGTTCCACTACTAATCAGCACAGGAATTTTTACCTGCTCCATTTCTGACCTGGGCCAGTTCACCCCTCCTTATGCAACCTGGTGGCCCCATACTCCCAGGCGGTCACGATATCGATGACAAACTTAGTGCAAACACCCAATTGGTATAGCACACTACAGCCCAGAACTCCTGGGCTCAAGGGATCCTCCAGTCTCAGCCTTCTGAGTAGCTGAGTCTCTTATGAGGCATAAAAGGAGGGGAAGTGTTAGACAGTTTGTTGGTATCAGTGGTGGATTTGAAAGGGCTGGTATCTGCTCAGCCTTTAGGGACGGAAGTCTATTTGTGGTTAGCAAAGGAGCAGGTATAACTAGGTCTGTCTGATCTCCCATCCCATCATGGCTGAGAAGCCAGTTTTCAAGGTTGCTCTGTGGTCCCCTTGACCAAGAGATGGTCCTTTCAGTAGGTTGGGGGGCTTAGCATTTAATTTTATTTCTCAAAACGAATTTCCTTGTATTGGATAATGGACTAACCCTAACCAGGCCTTCCTCTTTTCCAGCATCATAGCCAGGCAACTCCTCTCTCTAGCTCCTGTTTGACACCCTACTCTTCTGAACTCTAGCTACAGAATTTCAAGCTGATGCTCCAAATACCTCCTCTGGGCTGCACTTGGAGTCTCAGGTGACAGATCAGTTCTATAGAGGCAGGGCCTGGGGCCTGGCTTTGGAAGATCTTCAGGAAACACCTGTGGAGCTTCCAAATTGGTGAACACATTAAGGTATTGGGAGGTGTCATGCACCCAGAGAGGCATGGGAACTCCATGCCTCTTCCCTACACCTTGCCCTATGCATCTCTTCCACCTGGCTGTTTCTGAATTGTATCCTTTGTAATAAACCAAATCAAATGATGATTCAGAGTGCATATGCAAGCCTCATAAAACACTTGGAAGAAAACAGGATTTTAGCATAGCACCTCACTTTGCACATTAAAAATGGAAAAATACGATAGAAGAGGTGTGCCAGGCTCTATCTCTGACTCAGCACCTATGGCCAGAAGGATCAGATGTCTGGCATGTGCTCTGCGTTACTTCATGTTCATTGCTCTTGAGAATGCACCATTGCTTCTTAGGAAGTAAAGAGAACACAGCCTCTGGGAGGGAAGCTATGATTCACCAGGTGTGCATGGTGTAACTTCATTGGGTGGCGCAAGGGCTCTCCACTGTTGGAACACTCTTGGCTTCTGATGACAACTTTCTTTACTGGGAATTTTGCCCACTAATTTATAGGTATGAAATACCAAAAAAAAAAAAAAAGAGAGAAAAATTAGAATCTATGTAGATAAAAAACTATGTTATATAATTTCATGTTTTTCTTAAAATACAATGTAAAGAAAATTTTATCTGGTGTTTTACGTAGCATTTATTCTGCCTAATTCTTCTAATCAACAGAGAAAGTGAGGAAGAAGAAATGAAACAAAAGAAGCAAACTGGGGGCAGGGAGACTCACTATGCACCCGTGTTTCAAGCTCTTTATGGACCTGATGTCATGTAATCTTGCAACAACTTTGTGGTGTGGGTATTCTTACCCACTTTTGCCCATTTAGGACATTAAGAACAAGACCTACCTAAAACCTACCTAAAATCACATGGTAAATGGCAGCTTGAAATTTTACTAGGATGGCTGGCTTCAAAACTTGTGACAGTTCCACTCTACTGAACTGTCTTTGAAAAAGAGAGAAACACCTATGATGGTGAAGGAAGAAATATGCAGGCTGGAGAAGGGGAGAGGCAGAGCAGGGGTGAAGGGAAATGCAGGCTGGGGAAAGGGAAGGAAGCACGATGCTCAGAGCAGCTGGAAGATGACTGGCTGTGTTTGGGGCACCACAGCATCTGTTGCAATTGGCCTAAATGGCCATTTTTTTCTTTGAATTGGTCACCAACAATGAAAAATCAAGGAATTTTTGTGTGTGTGTGTGTGTGAAATCTGAATTGCTAACATCTTTTGAAAGCTCAGAGAGGAGGCCAAGCTGAGCCTGCTTTCCACATGGTGACACTTAGCTGGAGCTGAGGGTTAGCTGTCTCCTCTGCCCAGGCCTTGGCTGGGAAGTTTCCTGAAGCATCTCTGACAGAGTTAGGCTGACCCAGAACACCCACCATGGCCCAGCTGTGTGTGCCTTCATGCCCTATGTCTTTTTAAACTCTGCCCCAGCATTCTTGACTATTCTTTAAGACCCTAGGAACCTATTCAAAGGCTGCCTACTCTGTAGAGCCTTCTAGTACAGCCCAGACAACTTACTCATTACTTTGGAAACCGTTCTAGTACAGTGTGTAAGCTCCTTGAAGGCAGGGCTGTATCTGGGTCCCCTTTCTTTTCTTCTTTTTTTTTCTTTTCTTTTTTCTTTTCTTTTTTCTTTTCTTTTTTTTTTTTTTTTTTTTTTTTTTTTTTTTTTTGATAGAGACAGTGTCTCACTTAGGCTGGTCTTAAATTCCTGGTCTCAAGGGATTCCCTCACCTCGGCCTCCCAGAGTGCTGGGATTACAGGCACGAGTCACCACACCCAGCCTGGTTCCTATTTCTATATGAGCTTCTAGCACAATATCTGGCTCACAGCTGGGAAACCATAACCATTTAGATGAAATGGACTTATGTTAGATCAATAAAAACTTTGCAGAGTTACAAAATCTAGAGTATCTCATTGAAGAGAGACTCAAACCGCTAGACCTTTTCAAGACTGAGCACTACCAGCAGGGCCCTTGGAGCTCATTCTGCGTCTGTCTGCCTGGCATTCCCACAGAGAGGTTAGGGTGGCATGTCCCCATCACACAGCCGGTGTGGAAGCCAATGAGTTCAAACAAAACGTGGCATGCCCAGGTGGATTGGAAACACTTCCTCAGCAAGCCGCCCAGTTTTGATCCATGTTTAAATTTATTTTTTGCTACAACTCAGTACACACACTGTTAACTCTAACATCTGTCAGGGAGGGCTTGTGTGAATGGGCCCCAAGCAGAAGGGAATGGAGTGTATGGAGATAAACTTGTTGGGAGGGTGAAGAGGGAAGGCTTCGCAATGTGGCCAGAGCCATCGCCAGAGGACATTACTCCGGCAACAGGCATGAGTGAGAAAAGGGGAACAGTGAGTGCCAGAGACGGGCCCAGGGAGAAGGTTTACTGGACCGATGGCAAGACCAGGCCCGCTTTGACAAAGACCATGAGCCCCTGTTAATTGCAGTACTGATGGAGCTGTAACTGCTGCGAACCAGGTCTATACTTTTGTAATCCCTTTAGGTGGGCCCACACTTTTAGTATTCAAAAGTAGACTGCAAACAGAAAACAATTGATGAGTGTTTGGAGTGTCATAGCCACCCTGTAGATACTCATTTGTAGTTTGCTGTTAGCAAACCATCTCTATATATGTAACTTAATTTGTTCTCATGGCAGCTGCCCAATCAGTTAGAGCAAGTACAGTAATGTGATTTGCTCAAGGTCACATGCTAGTATGCAGTTGGGTTTGAACCAACGTCTTATGAACCCAGGATCAGAGCTCCTTGCACAGTGTGAGGAGGAGAGGGTCCTGCCTCACCAGGGTGGACCCCAGGCTGTCAGCCCCAGCACCCTGGGAGGAGCTGGGGTGAGCCACCCCACATCCCACCTTCTACTGTGCTGCTTGGTCTCTACTAACAGTTGGCACTAGGCTGGTGCCAGCTGGCTGGCCATTCGTCCGGCTCCACCATCTGGCATTATGCCCTCCCTGTGCACCATCCTCTCTTCTGCCTGGGTGACTGTGCCTGCTGCTCCTGTCTGGCAGGACCTGAGTGGCAGAGGGTTGACTGTGGGGTCCTGGGCGTTGGCTTCCGGCGATGGCCTCATCCTCCTGGAAGTCTGTCTGCCTCAGCCTTTGGCCCAAGGCTCCACACCCCAGCCATTGATGAAATGTGCTCCTGCTGCCCAGAGAGGAAATGTCTAGGACTCTAGTCCTGCCTGGTTGGCAGTATTCCCTCCTGAAAACCTTCCTTGCCTGTACTTTGTGCTATTCTGGAGTTCATTTAGAACAGCAGGACTGTATTAGCAGAGAGGGAAGGAACAGAAGAGCCGGTCACATAAAAGAAGCCCCTGTCCACACACAGTTTGACCTTTGTATGTCCAAATCTCAAAGTGGGCTAAAGGGTCTGTTTGTTCCTTGCCCCATGGAAATTCTGTAACTCAGGCCTTTCCTAGGTTCCCTGACAACTCCATGGTTATACGATTGGGATAGTTAGGAAAGAAGATTTAGGGCCACTGTGAGCAAAAAAAGAAGAGGTGTCTGCCATGATGGAGCATCCAGTTTCCTGGAGCAATGGATGCACTCAAATAAACACACAAGAATATGTAAATCTGCATACTCACTGGGTGACCTTCAGCAATGTTCTGGACCTTTCTGTGCCTCAGTTTCTTCATCTGTAAAGTGGGGGCACTTTGCTGGATGGTTGTGAGGGTTTATATGCATTATGCAAAGCACTTAGGACTGTGCCGGCACATAGTAATTCCTCAATAAGTATTAGCTATCATTAAACCAGGCAAGTGCCCTCAAAGAGAAGTGAATGGGGCCATCCTGGCTTATAAAAGAAGGATTTGACTTAATCATTTGGGAGACAAAAGTAGCCTTCCATGAAGGGGCTTGGACTGAAATGTGAGGAAGTAGATTTTAACTTTGATGAACAAATCTGAGGAGCACATTCCTGGCAGTGGAAACGGTGTGTGCAGAGTGGTAACAGTATTGGCGGAAGGATAGTCTAGGTACAGTCTGTGGCAGAGAGGAGATGGCGGCAGAAGTGCAGACATTATAGTTAGTGGTCAGATCATATTGAGCCTTGAGAGCCACGTTAAAGAATTTTGGGAAATCACTGGATGATATTTATTTTTTGTGATGTAACAAATTACCCCAAAACTTAGCAGCTTCAAACAACAAATACTTATTATCTCATGCCATTTCTGAGGGTTAGGAATTCAGGTATGGCTTAGCTGGGTGGTTCTAGCTCAGGGTCCCACAAGAGGTTTCAATCATTGCACCGGGGGCTCCCATTGTTTGAGGCTTGACTGGGGATGAAGATCTGCTTCCAGAATCACTCAGGAGGTCTCTGTTCCTCTTTGTGGGCCTCTCTGCACAGCCACTCAGCATAGAACCGCTGTAAGCCCCAGAGAAGCTATATCCCCCAGAGCAAGTAAGAAGAGGGAGTGTGAGCCAGCCCAACAGGAAAGGGCTTTTATAACCTCATCTTGGCAGTGACATTCCATTATTTCTACCAAAATCTATGGGAAACACAGACCTACTCTGATACAATGTGGGAGGGGATTACCAAGGGTGTGGATACCAAGAGACAAGAGCATTGGGGGTCATCTTAGAGGCTGGTGGGAGGGAAATAATCAGATTTGCCTTTGACTATCTCCCTCCTGCTATAGTGAAGATGGGGTGGACAGGGCCTTGATACACACAGGGAGAGCAGCTGGGAGACAATTGTAGCTCAGGGTATCTGGTGGTGGTGGGCACAGAGAGAGCTGGATGGATTCGAGAGATATTTAACATTAACATGACAGAACCTAGGGACAATTAGATGTGGATTGAGGGAGGCAGGGAGGACGTAGCAACATAGATCTCTAGCTTGTGTAACTGGATGGATGTAAGTGCTGTAATAAGTAAAGGAACATTGGAGGAAACCTGGTTTCATTTGTTTTACTGGAAGAAGATCATATGTTTAATTTTGGACATATTGAGTTTGGGATGACTAGGAGGCTTCTGATAATAGGCACTGGATATGTGTGTCTAGAGCTCATAGGACCCACCTGCTTTGGAAACCTAAAGGTATGAGTCACAGAGATACTGGCCCACAGTTAGTACTTGAAACCATCTAGCAATAGTGACCATCCAGAAAGAGTTTATTGAGTGGAAAAGGGTGCCTAGGACAAAACCCTAAGGAAAGCCAACATTTAATGGCTAGTGAAAGACTTTAGCTATGGATAGAGAGAATTTTGGTCAATTACAAAAGGTCTCCAGAGTAACTAGCTTATAGCATATTAACAGACACCATCCAAAGAGTCAACTAGTCAACTGGGGCAACCAAGAAGCCACTTGATGCCAGGTCTTTTCTTTTCTTTTCTTTTTTTTTTTTTTTTTTTTTTTTTTGAGAGGGAGTCTCACTCTGCTGCCCAGGCTGGAGTGCAGTGGTGCGATCTTGGCTCACTGCAACCTCCGCCTCCCGGGTTCAAGCAATTCTCCTGCCTCAGCCTCCTGAGTAGCTGGGATTACAGGCAGGTGCCACCACACTGGCTAATTTTTGTATTTTTAGTAGAGACGGGGTTTCACCATATTGGCCAGTCTGGTCTCGAACTTCTGACCTCTTGATCCGCCCACCTCAGCCTCCCAAAGTGCTGGGATTACAGGCGTGAGCCACTGCACCCAGCCGATGCCAGCTCTTTAAGGGTGACAGTAATCTCTGCCATTACCCCCAGGGAGGTGATGTTGCCTTGACTTTACCACTTTGACCAGGGGGTTGGACACTTTCAAAGGATTCTATTTGACCTTCCCCACTACAATAGCAGTGATGCCACTGGAAGCAAAATGGAGGTTAGGCAAATACAAAGTATTCCTATTGCAATTATTGAATCAGGAATCAGTCAAATGACTACCAGGAGGATCTGCACAATCAGTGGACCTACTGTGAGACTGATCTGAGCCAGAACTCCATTTATTAGCGGCCCCCATATGTCCTGGCTCTCAACTGGGGCAGGAGCATGGTGATGCATCAGGTCCCTGGACATCAGCGCTAACTTAATTCCAGTGTCCAACAGTCTTAGATATGCTTGGCTCTTCCCCTTTTCTCAATGTATGGTTTCCAGAAGAAATGAACATAGGTAACTTTACAGAAGCACCAAGAGAGTCATTACTATACACACTGTTATGGTGTTGCAGGGTCATTTCCCCTAGAATGAATGAAATGCAGGTATGAAAACTGGCTCCAGTCCAGAAATGGGGTAAGCGATCATGACTTTGTGTGGAAGCTTTCCTCCATGTCCTGATTATCCATTCATTATTTCTTTTAAATATATAGATTGAGAAAAACCTTTGTTGTCTACTCACCTAAATTTCCTCTGGGGACAAGGTTCTATTAATCACCGTCATACTCAAGTTGGGCCAGCCCCCTTGGCTGATGCTCCAGACTTACTGCTTGTTATTAGAATTGTGCCTTGCTTCTGATGGTGAAGCACTGCCACTTAGCCTTTATTGTTTGGGGATCCTGTCACTCACATTGATGTCAGTGAGCCCAGTTTTCTGACAGCATCTTTCTTCAGTTGGCCCTGGCCTACAGAAGAGGAGAAGCAATACTGAATTTCTTGATGATGCTTGTGACCCTCTCACCAGTACATTCCTTCTTCCTTTGGTAAATGTAGGCTCTTCCAGGCTCTCCCACAGTCCACAGTCATCTAGAGGGTTTTCTGGCCTTATATAGTCTGGCATGCCCACTTCTTTGATCACTCCTTCTATCACCTGGCATTGGCAATTCTAGCATTTCCTCTTAGCATGAGCCATCACTTTTTCCATAGTTCTAGGAGCCACCCTGATGGTCTGTTAGAACTATCTCCTGGGGTCCAAGATAGAGTATTAATCTCTGTCTGGATTAAGGCAGTGTGCCCTCATACTGATAAACTCTCTCTAATCAATTTTATGGTCTGCTCCCCTGGATTCAGAACCTTCAGAATCCCATCCATTACTTACTGCACTGGTTCCAGCTGGCACATGTTGACTATGCCCTATAGCTACTTCAGAAAAGAATCCTTCCCTTCCGAAGCAAGACTGGCATTCCTTGATGGACTGTGTTGCTACTTAACCCTAGTTATCGTTCTGGCGGCCAGGAGGGGAGGTAAGATCTTGAGAGGGGTATTTGTTGCTCTGCAAGGCCGAGTCCTCTGCATCATCTTCAGAGAAGTGGGCTACTTCTGTTGGTCCAATCATTCAGGGGAACTGGGGGATTCAAGATTTTTGAGTGCATCAACCAAGATGTCCCCTTCCCATATCTCAGGACCCAATCTCTCCCCAGAAGTGCCCTATTTTTGGTATAGTAGACCTGTCCATTGAGAGTTATACTTTCTCTGGAACTTGCTATTTTCTTTTTTAAAAGATTTTTAAATAACTGATACTTAATATTTGTACATATTTATGGGGTACATGTGATATTTTGATACATGCATAGAATGTGTAATGATCATATCAGGGTAATTAAGATATCCATCTCCTCAATCATTTATCATGTCTTTGTTTTGGGAACATTTCAAATCTTCTCTTCTAGCTTTTTTTTTGACATATACAATATATTTTTGTTAACTATAGTCACCCTATCAAACAAACACTAGAACTTATCCTTTCCATCTAACTGTATGCTTGCACCCATTAACAAACCTCAATTCATCGCCCCCGTCCCATCCCCTGACACAAACAACTCTTCCCACACACTGGTGTCTATCATTCTACCCTCTACTTCCATGAGATCAATTTTTTAGCTCCGATATATGAGAGAAAATATGGGATATTTGTCTTTCTGTGCCCGGCTTATTTCACTTAACATAATAACCTCCAGAAACTTGCTATTTTCATGATTAAAATTTAGACCTGGTTCTCAGCTGTTTGTGCCCTCTACCTACAGGAGATAACAGTCTCTTTCCAGCCTACCAAGAAGGACTTCTGGCTTTTATTCCTAGCGTTTAATTGATTAATCACTGTTTGCCTTTTATTATCTTTCCCCAAATCTTTAATTCCCCTAAACAACAGACATCCAATTCAATTGTTCCTATAATTACTCTCTCTTCCCATATTTTTTGAACATGTAAAACATTACACTAATGAATGCATTTTCTTCTGCTGATGTATTATTTGTTAACCCCCAAAGAATGTTTTAACAATTGCACTGCTTGGTTGGGCCAGGGACTCTCCATGCTGGATTTAGCACCTGTGATGAGGCCCTCACTGCCAGCTGGCCATAGGGTGACCCAGCTCCTGCCTCTGCTTTCTTAGATCGCTGACCTTGCTGCCATTTGCATTCTTCCTAGAAGTAGAGTCTGAGATGGAGATTAGTGTATAATCAGTTTATTGAGGAGGTCCCTTAGGCTCAAGGCTTGTGGAAAAAGTGAAGGAAGCAGGACTGGACAGAGAGAGAAGTTGTTCTGTGATGAGACCCAGGTGTTCTGAGATACAAAACAGACTTTACCAAGCCCTATGGGGATTTCCGAAGCTGGGCTGTCTCTTCAGAAATGTCCTGAGTTGGGTTGAGTTGGGACCTTTATATCCTTACACTGACCACTTGTTGAAGGTAGGCTTCTTTGAGAAGAGAACATGGCCTTGAGAAAGGTGGTTCTGAACTTTGGCAGAGGGCAATTTCTAAAGATAGCTGATATCTGAAGAATTTCATCTGGTAACACTCCCAGCAGCTAAGAGGTAAGTCCTTCATTGCTGAATGGAGATCTCAGTGTACAGCAGCAAGCACCCCCTGGCTACCAACATGAGGTGTTTGCAAGAGGTTTCACAGACAGAAGATACGTCACTATTCTCCTGTATTAGTTGCTAAGCAAGAATGTAGGCACTGGCAACTGGTAGATGTGGGGATTGCCAGTGGCTCCCGGGGGTTCCCTGAAAATTATTCGCTTGTGCTGCAGTTAGCTAAGATCATCTAGGATGGCCTCTTATGACCACTCCACTTTTGGATTCACTGAAAGCCCCCAGGGGCCTTCTCAATCTTCAATCTTCCAACATATCCAATGGTTATATGAACCTCTAAGTCCTCATATTAAGTTCCTCCTAGTGAAAATACCTAAAATGGTTTCTATTTTTCCAAACTAACACTTACTGGTACAGTTGTATCATCAAGAGTTATACCCCAAAGTAAGAACATGGGAGCACTTCTCAATAATCTCCAGTAATGACTTCTCAATAATCTCCAGTAATGACTTCTCAATAATCTCCAGTAAGAACATGGGAGCACTTCTCAATAGTCTCCAGTAATCAGTTAATAGAGGTCTTACAAATACTGCCCATTTATTTTTGATGCAGTGATAGGTATTGAATGCTAGGCTCAGCTAGCTAAAAATGCATTTAGAAATTTTAAAGAGATAATTATATAGAAGTGTTGACCATAGGTGAACAATGCTTAGATGGTGAGGGGAAGGTTACTAGTATCAGATAATTCAAAACTTGTGAGTTTGCATGGCTATACCGGCTTCCAGCAATCACTGAGGTTTGAAATTGGCCCTGAAAGGAAAACAGCTGAGAGAGACAAAAAAAGTTTAAACATCTTCAAATGTAGCACATGGACCACTCATTATCTGACAACTGCCTGCCTCCTCAAACTTTTTTCCTTGTGCTCCTTTGTCTCAACTTTATGTTCCAGCAATTCCAAGCTGCTTGCAGTGCTTCTGCATATGTCAAACTTTCTCCCATCTGTTTTTTTTTTTTTTTCGCCCAAGCTGTCACCTTTGCCATAACAAACCTCTCCTCTATTCACTCTTTAAAACTTAGTTTGGATATCAGTAAAAATGACAGAATAAGATCTTCTGAAAATCTCATCCTTTATAAAAGCAATGAGAATACTGGCAAAAAATGGTAGGAATTCCCACTTCCAGAACTCTGGAACTTAACAAAACACTTGCAGCAACCCAGGGAACATTTCTCAAGAAAAAGAGCTGAATCTCAGTAAGAACAGTGAGCTTTGTGTTGCTCTAATTTGCCCTATTCCTTATTATCCTCCCTCCCCAGCTGCACAATAATTTTGAAAACAAAAGCTCTCAATCAGGTGAAAAACAGGAGCCTGGCAGCCACTGGAGGGGACAAAATAGGGTCAGTCTAAACATTAAGTAGCTTGTCAGCCAAAGAGACTGGGGATTTAGGCAGGGACCAGACCCTAAAAGACTTTACGTGTCCCAGTATAGACTTTTCATCTTATCCTGAAAGTAATGGGGAGTCCTGCAAAGATTTTCAGCCTCAAAACTCCATTCCCAGATAATTGCTATTATTTGACCTGTTTTGGTGGTTCCTTAGGAAGCTGTTTTTGACGCAATTCAGAGTTTTTTCCAGTTTCTTTTCTTTCCTTTCTGCAGAAAGGAAGTTTATTGGGGAGCATCCTTAATTTGGATGAATATAGGGGACTATGTTCACAGGAATGAGAAATGTGGTGAGGTAGGAATTTAATTTTGTTTTTTTGTTTTGTTTTTTTTGAGACAGAGTCTCACTTTGTCGCCTAGGCTGGAGTGCGGTGGTGCAATCTTGGCTCACTACAATCTCCACCTTCTGGGTTCAAGCGGTTCTCTTGCCTCAGCCTCCCAGGTAGCTGGGATTACAGGCACCTGCCACCAAACCCGGCTAATTTTTTTATTTTATTTTATTTCTTTATTTTTTTTTTCTTGAGTAGAGATGGGGTTTTACCATGTTGGCCACGCTGGTCTCAAACTCCTGACCTCAAGTGATCTCCCCACCTCAGCCTCCCAAAGTGCAGGGATTACAGACACAAGCCAGCACACCTCTGCTGGGATTTACTCTTAATGCATTCACAACAAAGGCCTCAGCTAATCCTCAGGGACCTGGAGGACCCTTCAGAGTTGTCCTGCCTTAAGGCCCAATGCCAATTCTTCATACCAAGTGCCAGTTCTTTATATCCTCCTCATCAAGCAGTCATTGGATGCTCACTGTCCCTTGGGAGAAGACCCGACCTCCTCCATCTAACAGCAGCTCAGCCAACAAATGAGTGCCTCAGCCCTAGAGGCAGAGCTGGGCAGTGCACCCCAGCATTCAGCATCCTGCTGGGTTCCCATGTGGCTTGGCCCATGCTGCTCTCTCAGTGAGTGACCCCCTGAGAGGAGGGAGGAAGAGAGGCAACCTATGAGGGCAGACAATTGTGATTGCTACCTTGAGTCTTCTCCCTGCTAAGTGTATGGCTTGGATCGGAATTTATCTTCTTTAGGCCTGTTTCTCCACCCATGGCAAATGATATTCCTACTTAAACACTGAACACGTCGCTGGTATTCTGAGATAACCTGGAAATGGGGGTCAAAGTTGGATGGACTACTTCCAGGAAGGAAATCCAGTGCCTATGATTGCTGGGAAGGCCAACCACACTGTGCTTCTCCTCCTAACCTCCCCAGGACCTCCCACATTTCTTGTTTTTTTTTTTTGTTTGTTTTTTTGTTTTTTCCATTTTTCTTTTCTTGTCTTTTTGTTTGTTTTTGTGGGTTTTTGTTGGTTTGTTTGTTTTTGAGACAGGGTCTTGCTCTGCCCTGGCTGGAGTGCATTGGCATGAAGTGCACTGGCATGATCTCAGCTAACTGTAACCTCCGCCTCCCGGGCTCAAGTGATTCTCCTGCCTCAGACTCCCGAGTATCTGGGATTACAGGTGCCCACCACCACACCTGGCTAATTTTTTGTATTTTTGGTAGAGACAGGGTTTCGCCATGTTGGCCAGGCTGGTCTCAAACTGGATCTCCCACATTTCTGCTGCAAAAGTAGAAATAAGGTCTAGTAGCCTCTTCAGAGTACTGAGAAGTTGGTCTAATTTGTTTTGAGTTCCCTGGACCCTGATTAGCATTTTGCATCAGGCAGACATTCATTTTGTTCTGTTTTTCTTTCTGACTTTGGCCAATGAGAACTCTTAATGAAAGAAAATTATGTCATTCTTTATCCTGGTATCAAACTGTACATGCATTAGTGACTTGGTAAAAAGAAAAAAAATGAGTCAATAGTCTGCAGTAAATCACTATAAGTGTCATGGAGAAATCTAAGAATCAGAGACATACAGAATCTTGAGTGATGTGATTCAAACCCCTACATTCAAACAAATGGATTCCCAAAGTCTGGAGGGAGAAAACTTATCAGAATCTCAGGGGGAAGGTGAGGCTCATGTAGTTTGAAAAAGTCTATCCACTTTCTACCCGTAGGAAAATTTTGTACAAAATTATTGTCTCTTGGGGATATGCAGAAAATAGTGTGAGAGAGTGTTTTAGGGGACAAAGGTTAAAAATAAGTTTTAGAAGTAGCTTTGGGAACAAATGGCAGTATGATAATGTTACTCATGAGAAGTTTTATCTCTATCAGCTATTTGGCCATAAAATTACACAATGGATCATTACAATGCCTTTAAGTGAAGGAATGCAGCCACCCGCTGCTACAAAAGAAAATTCCAAAAACAGTGAGCATAATACTAAGGAGTTTTCTCAAAACTAAGGATGACAAAATGAAAATGGGCTCTGAAGTACATTTGAGTTTTCATCTTAAATTAAAATCACCTAGATTTTTTGACAATTCCCATTGGCCCTCGACATACCACTGAAGGAGGTGAATCACTGTCATCTCTAATGATGCCCAAACTTTACAGCTGATGACCAAGGAATAGAATAAATAGCTCCATTCAGAAGGACAGATTCCCCTCAGGTGGGTAAAAAGATGGCATCGTTCCTAAGACCATCATCTGAAGTTCTCTGACTCAATTACAGTCTCACTCTGAATCAGTTGCGGTGACTGACAGTGCCCAACGATGCCAGTACTCACATTCCAAGCTGCACGGTAAAGAGAAACTGCAGATGAAAGCACATTTACTCACATTTCCAGCAGCAGGATTTCTCAAGGTTTGTCAGCTTTGAATATAAATGCAGAATATTTCCTTGGTGTCAGCAGCAGCTCCAGACTGGATTTCAGGAGCAATTAATAGTCCACAGATTAACCCTTTACTTGCAGACAGGAACATGAAAATAATTCCCATTGTTGTGTATTTACTCAGTGTGGGTTATGGGGGGAAGAAATATAAGCATACACACACACACACATACATCTATAATATATACATATAGGTACACTCACATGAATTTCATTACTATCTCTTAATGAAACGTATCGTTTTGTACCTACAAAAATATTTCTTGCTAATTTTTTGACAAGCTACCTGAATAGATTTTATGTTGTCAAATGCACATTAACATCACTGGAACCAAGTTTAATTCCTTAGTTTTTCTTTCCAGAAGCTGGGCTGATATTTAACAGGCTGTCTCATGACCTAGAACAGGAGTCCACATCCTCAGCTTGCAGGCCAAGTCCAGCCCATCACTTGTTCTTGTATGGCCTGTGTACACTTTTAAGTGATTGAAGAAAAATCAAAGAACAGCAATAGTTTGTGACTCTTGAAAATTGTATGACATCCAAATTTTAGGTTCCACAAAAAAGTTTTATTGGCACACAGCTACACCTTTTTTTTTTTTTTTTTTTTTTTTGAGATGGGGTCTCACTCTGTCACCCAGGCTGGAGTGCAGTGGCATGAACATGGCTCACTGCAGCCTCGACCTCCCGGGCTCAAGAGATCCTCCTGCTGCAGCCTGCCAAGTAGCTGGTACTACAGGCGTGCACCACCATGCCCAGCTAATTTTTGTATTTTTTTTGTAGAGATGGGGTTTTGCCATGTTGCCCAGGCTGGCCTTGAACTCCTAGGCTCAAGCGATCCACCCAACTCAGCCTCCCAAAGTGCTGGGATTACAGATATGAGACATTGTGCCCGTCCCCACTATTGATTTATGGATTGTCTATGGCTGATTTCTTCCTGAAAGGGCAGAGTTGAGCAGTTGCAACAGAGATCATACAGCCCAGGAAGCCTAAAATATTTACTCTCTGGTTCTTTACAGAAAAAGTTTGCCAACTTCAGGACTAGAGCTAGTTGTTCTGGGGCCTCTTTGGGTTGGTTACTGCCCTGCTTAAGATAAGAGTAAACAGATGGTCCCCGACTTAGAATCATTCAACTTATGATTTTTCAACTTTATGATGGTGCAAAAATGAAACTCACTCAGTAGAAATGATACTTTGAATTTAAAATTTTGAGCATTTCCCTAGTGATATGCAGTATAATACTCTCTTGCAATGTTGGGCAGCAACAGTGAGCCACAGGTCCCCATCATCCATGCTATCACAAGGGCAAACAACTGATACTCTACAGTGTACTGTGTTCCCGTGTTTTTTGGACTATTGTGTTTTTAATTTTCGCATCCCATCATGTCTGCAAAACATCCATCTATATCTGGGGAGAAGAAAAAGCAGAAGCAATTACTCTTGAGCCAAAACTCCAAATAATTGCCCAGTTTGGAGACAGCAAGCCAGCAATGGCCATCTTACGTGAGTTAGGACTTTAGAAAGCCACGACCATCTTAAGGAATAACAAGCAAATTTGTGATGCAGTGGAACCATCAGCATCAGTCAAATCTACTGTTACCACAAAGAAAAGAGCTGGGCTGATTGACGATTTGGAAAAATTACTTGTCACGTGAGTGGAAGACCAGATACAGACGCACATACTGCTTAGCCTACCGATGATCCAGTCTAAGGCAAGAACTCTTTTCAATACACTAAAAGAGCATTCCTATGATCTTTCCCATATGCAAATGCTTATAGCAAGTCATGGGCAGGTTCCAGCACTTCAAAAGGCATCATAATTTTCATAATGTGAAGTTCAGCCGTGAGGCAGCAACTGCCAATACTGAAGGTCCTTAAGTATTTAAGAACAAGCTCCATAGGATAATTGTGGATGAGAAATGTTTGCCAGAATAAATATTTAATGTCAATAAAATGAGCTTGCTCTGGAAGCGTATGCTGGTGCATATGTATATTAACAGGCCAAGACAATGCCAGGATTCAAGGCATTCAAATACCCTGGAATGCTGCTTTTGGGTCAAAATGTTGCAGGGTTCAAATTAAAGCCTTCCTAATCTGCCACTTAGGGAACTCCAGAGCATTTGAGAATGTGAACAAGCATCCATTTCCTGTTTATTACTGCCATCACAAGAAAGCCTGGATGACATCAGCATTGTTTAAAGACTGGGGTTTGAAGTGTTTTATTCTGCAGGCAAGAGAGTATTGTAGGCAAAGCAACATCTCATTCAAGATTGCTCTGATCTTAGACAATGCTCCAGGTCCTCCATAGCTTATCCGGTGACATCCATCTTGATGTAAAGGTTGTATATTTGCCACCTCTGAACATAGCCGCACTCATTCAACCCATGGACCAAGGCACAATAGCTGTGTTCTAAGCATGCTACTTACAACCAATATTTGCAAAGGCTGTTAAAGAGACTGAATCTGACCGAACGCTCTGAGAGTTTTGGAAAGGTTTTAACATTCTAAATACTGCATGAAACATTGCTCCAGCATGAGAAGCCATCACACAACAATGCATGAATGGCATTTGGAGGAAAGTTTTGAAGACGTGTGTAAACGCATTCAAAGGCTTTAACAAAGATTCTGCTCTTGATGAAATAGTAACTAACAATATTAGTGCTTGGGGAACAGCCAGAATTGGAGGCTGATGAAGAGGATATTCGTGAGCTTGTCAGTGATGAAGAGGATATTCGTGAGCTTGTCAGCATTGGGACTGAAGAGCTTCCCAAGGAGAAACTGATCAGACTGAGGAAGAAAGAAAGAATGAAATTGAGGCAGAGGAAAAGTAAGTTACACCTGACGCACCAAGAAAGTTTACAGCAAAGAAACTGGTGGAGGCATTGGCTACTCTCAGCAGTGGCTTATGAATGGTAGAAGAAATGGACGTCCATTACCAGAGATTCTCAAGTGCTGACAGGCAGATGCAGGATGCTCTTGCTTGCTATAGAGAAACATATAAAGAAAAGAAGAAACGAACTGCACAGTTAAAACTTATCTTCCTGAAGAGCTCTATGCTTGCCAAACCATCAACAAGTGTCAATGCCCCACTGTCTTCTAGCAGCTATTCTCAAGCCTCAGCATGAGAGAGAGAAATGTGATGACCCTGTAACTGTAGCATCCCCATTATCCAGCAATTAATTTTAGTTCAATGCATAAAACCCTCTTCACACCCAGTGTGCTTTAGGCTGTGTACATTAATGGTGAGTACCCAAACAACGATTTTGTTTTTCATTTTTCTGTACAGTATTCAATAAATTACATGAGATATTCAATACTTATATTTATAAAACAGGCTTCGTGATAGATGATTTTACCCAACTATAGGCTAATGTATGTGTTCTGAGCACATTTAAGGTACACTAAGCTAATCTATGACATTTGGTAGGTTAGGTGTATTAAATGCATTTTTGACTTATGATATTTTTTATGAGGGATTCCTTGGCATATAACTCCATCATAAGTTGAGGAATGTCTATATCGCTTTGCAAAGTTCTTGCAGAGGAGTACCTGGGACTATACCTCTATTAACACAATCCAGATCTACTTTTCATCATATAATCCCCATTGATAAATAAATAGCACTTTGTTATAATCACATTTGACCACACTATTTATTTTATAATGAAAAGTATTAAATTCTATTCGAAAGGAAATTCGCATCATATAAAATCTTTTTTGGGGACAGTCAGTTTTGTATGCAATAGGTTTGTTTAAATAAGATTATAACTATTATCAACAGAAAAAGTTTTTAGAATTGTTATAAGTTATCTTCTAATTGCAAGCTAGTTGTAGAAAACAAAACAAGAAGCAATGCTATTGATTCTCTTTAAATGTAAAATGTTGTTGGATTCAACTGGCACTGAATAGCTTAAGATATTGGGTGGAGTAGTAATGAATTCACCACTTCTGCTCAGGAAGGGCACAAAACCCAAAATGGGCCAGGTGCGGTGGCTCGTGCCTGCAATCCCAGCAGTCTGAGAGGCCAAGGTAGGAGGATCACTTGAGCCCAGGAGTTTGAGGCCAGCCTGGTAACAGAGTGAGGCCCCATAATGAAATAATTTAAAAAAAAATTAGCTGGGCGTGGTGGCATGTGCCTGTAGTCTCAGCTTACTCGGAAGACTGAGGTGGGAAGGTCATTTGAGCCTGGGAAGTCTTGAGCCTGCAGTGGGCCATAATCGTGCCACTGCAGTCCAGCCTGGGTGACAGAGCAAGACCCTGTCTCAACAAAACAAAAATAAAACAAAACAAATCTCTAAATGACAAAATTATACTGCATATTATTCTTCAGTCTAATTCTGAATGTTTGATGGGAAGGAGATCATTGATCATTGTGGAAGAAGGAGGGGCAGAGACCCTCAACTAGAGCAATGAATGATCAAAGAGTAAATATATGAGCTCTTTATTTTAATGCTTTGAAAAAAAATTCTCACTTAAATATGATCGATTGGTATTTTTAATTAAACTTTTGTTTTGATATAATTGTAGAAAGACATATAGTCATAAGAAATAATACAGAGAGACCACACGTCTCCTTCACTCAATTTCCCAATGGGAATATTTTTCAAAACTATAGTATAATATTTCAATGAGGATATTGACATTAATACAATTAGCTGATCTTATTTAGGTTTTCCCAGTTTTATTTATACCTGTCAGGGGTGGTGTTTTGTTGGGTGTGTGTGTGTGTGTGTGTGTGTGTGTGTGTGTGTGTGTGTGTGTATTTGCTTCTATGCAATGTTTACTTCTAGGTTCATGTACACACCAAGACCTGTAAGATATACAACAGTTTCATAAGGATCCTTCCCATTTCCATTTCAGAATCACACCAACATTTCTCCCACCCCATCATCCATATCCCTATCCCATGACAACCACTAACTAATCTGTTCTCCATTTCTAAAATTTTGTCATTTCAAAAGTATTGTACAAATGACATCATGCAGTATGAAACCTTGTGGGATTGGCCTTTAACACTAAGCATAATTCCCTGAAGATTCATCCAGGATGTTGTGTGTCAATAACTCTTTCTTATTTTATTGCAGATTAGTATTGTGTAATATGGATTTTTGAACATTGGATAAGCCTTGCATATATAGAATAAATCTTACTTGGTCATTGTTCATGATTGGATTCAATCTGCTAATATATTTTGTTGTGGATTTTTGCATCAGATTCATGAAAGACATTGTTTTCTCATGAGAGTTTTTATTCTTTGTACTTCATTTGTCTGGTTTTAGTATCAGGTTAATACTAGCCCCTTAAAAGGAGTTGAGAAATGTTCTGTTCTTTTTCTTTTGTGTGTGTGTGTGTGTGTGCGTGCGTGTGTGTTAGCTGGGACTGCAGGCATGTGCCACCACAGCTGGCTGATTTTTGTATTTTTTGTAGAGACAGGGTTTCGCCATGTTGCCCAGGCTGATCTCAAACTCCTAGGCTCAAGGAATCCACCCACCTCAGCCTCCCAAAATGCTGAGATTACAGGTGTGAGCCACTGCACCCAGCCTTATTCTCCCCTCTTCTATTTTGTGGAAGAGATTGTGTCACATGGGCATTAATTCTTCTTTATTCTTCTACAGAATATTTGGTTAAGATTCTCTAATGAAGCCATCTGGGCTGGAGATTTCTTTTTCAGGAAATTTTAAATTAAAACTTCAGTTTCTTTAATGGTTATGTAACTATTCAGATTATCTATTTTATCTTGGTTGAGTTTGGTACTAGAGTTTTGTTTAAGGAACAGGTTAATTTATTCGAAGTTGCTGTATACATGAGTGTAAACTTGTTTTTTTCACTCGTGATGTTCTCTTATTACACTCACAATGGCTGCAAGATCTGTAGTGACATTCCCTGTTTTATTCCTGATATTGATAATATATGCCTTCTCTTTTTTTAGTTTTTGTCAGAGGTTTACTCTTTTACTTATTTGTTTTTTATTTTTGTCAAGAGGTTTACTAATTTTATTGATTCTTTTTTTAAAAAACCAACTTCTTGTTTCATTGCATTCCCCTCTTGTTTTCCTGTTTTGCATTACAGTAACTTTTTGCTATTTTTGCTATTTCCTTCCTTCTGTTTGCTTTGAGTTTATTTTGGTCTGTTTTTTTCAAGTTTCTTGAGGTAAGAATTTAAATTATTGGTTGGAGACTTCTCCTCCTTTCTAACACTAATTTGCACTTTAATGCTACGAATTCCCCTCTCTGCACTGCTTTAGATGCATCCCGTAAGTTTGATGTTTTTAAATATTTTTATTTAATTTTATATATTTGTTATTTCCTTTGAGATTTTTTGTTTGGCCTAAGAATCACTAGAAGCATGTTGTTTAATTAGCACCTGTTTAAATATTTTCTGTTATCTTTCTCTTACTGATTTCTGGTTTGATTCCACTATGATCAGAGAACAAACTCATGTTTTAAATTATTTTAAATTTGTTGAAGTTTGTGTAGTGGCCCAGGATATGAACTAGTTTGGTGAATGTTCTATAGAAAATTGAAAAAAAAGTATATTCTGTTATTGCTGGATAGAGTGTTCTATCCACGCGATTTAGGTTCAGTTGGTTGATTGTGGTGTTTAGATCTCCTACATCTTTATTGATATTTTGACTAGTCATTTCATTACTTTCCAAGAGGGCAGGGTTAAAATCCCCAAGTATTACTGTGGATTTATCTATTTCTCCTTTCAGCTCTGTCAGTTTTTGCCTCTCGTAGTTAGAAAATCTATGTTTGGGGCATACACCTTTAGAATTATTACGTCTTCCTGGTGGATTGATTCTTTAATGATTTAGTAATGTCCTTCCTTTTCTCAAGTAAGTTTTCTTTAAAATCCAATTTATCTGATATTAATACAGGATCTCCTGCTTTTTAGGAAAATTTAATGTTTGCATGCTATATCTTTTTCCATCCTTTTACTTTTGATCTATCTATATTATTGAAGTTGAAATAAGTTTCTGTGAACAGCATATATTTGAGACATGTTTTTAAAATTTTCTCTCAATCTCTGTCTTTTGGTTGATATATTTAGAGCATTTACTTTCAAGGTAATTATTGATAGAATTGCCATTTTATTATTTATTTTTCATATGTTTTCTCTAGGCCTCATTTTTCTGTTTGTCTTTTATTGCCTTCATGTGGATTACTTGCATATTTTTTAAGATTACATTTTAATTCATGCATAGTTTTTTTTTTTTTTTTGTCTATTTCTGTGTGGTTGCTCCTAATGCTTGCTCTGGTTATCATAATATACATATGAAACTTACCATAGTCTACTGGTATCAACATTTTACCATTTTTAGTGAAGTTTGAACTTCACTGCTATTTAAATTCTTTTACCTTTCCCATTCTTAAGTATCATTGTTTTTAGCATCCAATGGTGTTATAATTTTTGCTTCAGTCACCACATATGATTTTAAAAAGTCATCAGGAAAAGAATTGTCTGTTGTATGTACCTGTACTTGTGCTCCTTTCATTGTTCTTTCTTCCTTCCTCACGCTCTAAGCTTCCTTCTTTTATTGTTTCCATCTGATTGAAGGACTTTCTTCAGCCATTGCTTAAGGGTAGGTCAATGAGCAGCAAATTCCTTAAGTTTTCTTTCATCTGAGAATTTATTTCCCCTTCATTCCTGAAGGATAATTTTATCAGATATAGAATTTGTAATTACAGTTCTTTTCTTTTAACACTTGAAAAAAAATGTTGCATTCTTTCTTCTGATCTCTGTGGTTTTAGATGAAAAATCCACTGTCATTTGAATTGGTGTTCTTCTGTAGGTAGTATATCATTTTTCTCTGTCTGCTTTCATAATGGTGGAAGGAACATAGAGTTGGATCAGGCTGAATTTATTGATGTGGGCCCACTAAGTAGGGACTCTACTTTTAATGTTGCAGTTTGAGGACTTAAAAAAGTTCTAATAGTTTATTTGCTGGGTTAGCTGAAATACAGATTAAAAGATGGCCCACTGTGAGTGAGCTGGAAATGCCTGATCTCCCTTGGTTTAATGTAGAGGAAGGGATCCAAAGGCTTAGGGAGATTGGGATGGTGTGGTGGATTAGCCACTTTAGACCTACTTATCCCCGCTGGGAGGGTCCAGAAGATATACCCTTGACCAATGCCTTGTGAAACAAATTTGTGAAGGCAGCACCTGCATCTTTCACGAGCCCTGTAATTGCTTTTCTCTGTATGTCAGATCTAACAGTGGGAACCACAGTCACTCAACTGCAAAATTTAAATACAATGGGAATAATTGGACCCCGAGGTGGCAGGGGCCAAGTGGCGGCACTCAGCGTCAAAGGCAAGGTGGGTGTAGCTACAGTAATGGACAGCAGAAGCAAAGCGGCAATCAGAATACTCTGACTCGTGTAGAGCTCTGGCATTGACTAATAAATCATGGTGTTCCTAGAAGTGAAATTGATAGGAAGCCCACTGCATTCCTACTTAATTTATGCAAGCAGAAAACTTCTAGGTCGAATGGACAAGAGACTAATTTGAATTATAAAAACAGAGAATCAAGGCCCCGCAATCAATTTCCAGACTTGAGCCAGTTTACAGACCCAGAATCCCTTGAATAAAGGGAAAGCTGGGTCCCCTTGAGGAACAAGGAGACCTCCAGCCTTTTACCAGGATAACTATTCACTGGGCAAAGGGAAATGATCTGACATTTTGGGGCCTACTGGACACTGGCTCTCAGCTGACATTGATTCCAGGGGACCCAACACATCACTGTGGTCCCCCAGTTAAAGTAGGGGCTTATAGAGGTCAGATAATTAATGGAGTTTTAGCTCAGGTCCACCTTACAGTGGGTCCAGTGGGTCCCCAGACTCATCCTGTGGTTGTTTCCCCAGTGCCAGAATGCATAATTGTCATAGACATACTTAGGAGCTGGCAGAACCCCCACATTGGGTCCCTGACAGGTAGGCTGAGGGCTATTATGGTGGGAAAGGCCAAATGGAAGCCATTAGAGCTTCCTCTACCTAGAAAAATGGTAAATCAAAAACAATATCACATCCCTGGAGGGACTGTGGAGATTAGTGCCACCATCAAGGACTTGAAGGATGCAGGGGTGGTGATTCCCACCACAACCCCATTCAACTCCCCCATTTGGCCTATGCAGAAGACTGATGGATCTTGGAGAATGACAGTGGATTATCGTAAGCTTAACCAAGTGGTGACTCCAATTGCAGCTGCTGTACCAGATGTAGTTTCATTGCTTGAGCAAATTAATACATCTCCTGGTACCTGGTATGCAGCCATTGACTTGGCAAATGACTTTTTTTCCTTTCCTGTTCATAAGGCCCACCAGAAGCAGTTTGCCTTCAGCTGGCAAGGCCTGCAATATACCTTTATTGTCCTACCTCAAGGATATATCAACTCTCCAGGTTTCTGTCATCATCTTATTAGAAGAGACCTTGATTGCTTTTTGTTTCCATGAGATATCACACTGGTGCATTACGTTGATGACATTATGCTCATTGGGTCCAGTGAGCAAGAAGTAGCAAACACACTGGACTTATTGGTGAGAGATTTGTATGCCAGAGGTTGGGAAATAAACCTGACTAAAATTCAGGGACCTTCTACCTCAGTAAAATTTCTAGAGTTCCAGTGTTGTGGGGCCTCTCGAGATATTCCTTCTAAGGTGAATGATAAGTTGCCACATTTGGCCCCTCCTACAACCAAGAAAGAGGCACAATGCCTAGTAACCCTATTTGGATTTTGGAGGCAACACATTCCTCATTTGGGTGTGTTACTTCAGCCCATTTATCAAGTGACCTGAAAGGCTCCAGTTTTGAGTGGGGTCCAGAAGAGAAGGCTCTGCAACAGGTTCAAGCTGCTGTGCAAGCTGTTCTGTCACTTGGGCCATATGACCCAGCAGATCTAATGGTGCTTGAGGTGTCAGTGGCAGATAGGGATGCTGTTTGGGGCCTTTGGCAGGCTCCCATAAGTGAATCAAAGTGGATGCCGTTAGGATTTTGGAACAAGGCCCTGCTATCTTCTGCAGATAACTACTCTCCTTTTGAGAGACAGCTCTTGGCCTGTTACTGGGCTTTGGTGGAAACTGAACGTTTGACTATGGGTATCAAGTCACCATGCAACCTGAACTGCCTGTCATTAACTGGGAGCTTTCTGGCCCATCTAGCCATAAAGTGGGTCATGTGCAGCAGCATTCCATCATCAAATGGAAGTGGTATATACGTGATCAGGCTCGAGCAGGTCCTGAAGGCACAAGTAAATTACATGAGGAAGTGGCTCAAATGCCCATGATCTCCACTCCTGTCACCTTGCCTTCTCTTCCCCAGCCTCATGAGGAGTTCCCTATGATCAGTTTATAGAGGAAAAGAAGACTAGGGCCTGGTTCACAGATGGTTCTATACAATAGGCAGCGACCACCCAAAAGTGGACAGCTGCAACACTACAGCCCCTTTCTAGGACATTACTGAAGGACAGCAGTGAAGGGAAATCTTCCCAGTAGGCAGAATTTTGAGCAGTGCACCTGGTTGTGCACTTTGCATGGCAGGAGAAATGGGTAGATGTGCAATTATATGCTGATTCATGGGCTGTAGTCAATAGTTTGGCTGGATGGTCAGGGACTTAGAAGAGTGTGATTGGAAAATTGGTGACAAAGAAATTTGGGGAAGAAGTATGTGGATGGATCTCTTTGAGTGGTCAAAAACTGTGAAGATATTTGTATCCCATGTGAGTGCTCACCAACGGGTGACCTCAGCAGAGGAGGATTTTAATAATCAAGTGGATAGGATGACCGTTCTGTGGACACCACTCAGCCTCTTTCCCCAGTCACCCCTGTCATTGCCCAACGGGCCCAAGAACAAAGTGGCCATGGTGGCAGGGATGCAGGTTTCATGTGGGCTCAGCAACATGGACTTCCACTCACCAAGGCTGACCTGGCTATGGCCACTGCTGAGTGTCCAAATTGCCAGCAGCAGAAATAAAGGGCCAGCAGCCCTTGATATGGCATTATTCCTCGAGGTGATCAGCCAGCTACCTGGTGGCAGGTTGATTATATTGGACCTCTTCCATCATGGAAAGGCCAGAGGTTTCTCCTCACTGGAATAGACACTTACTCCAGATATGGGCTTGCCTATCCTGCTTGCAATGCTTCTGTCAGGACTACCATCTATGGACTAACAAAATGCATTATCCACTGTCATGGTATTCCACACAGCACTGCCTCTGACCAAGGCATTCACTTTACAGCTAAAGAAGTGTGGCAGTGGGCTCATGCTCATGGAATTAACTGGTCTTACCATGTTCCCCATCATCCTGAAGCAGCTGGATTGACAGAATGGTGGAATGGCCTTTTGAAGCCACAATTACAACATCAACTAGGTGATAATACTTTGCAGGGCTTTGGCAAAGTTCTCAGAAGGCTGTGTATGCTCTGAATCAACGTCCAATATATGGTATTGTTTCTCCCGTAGCCAGGATTCATGACTCCAGGAATCAAGGAGTGGAAGTGCAAGTTGCACCCTCACCATCACCCCTAGTGATTCACTACCAAAGTTTTTGCTTCCTGTTCCCACAACAGTACATTCTGCTGGCCTAGAGGTCTTAGTTCCAGAGGGAGGAACTCTGCCACTAGGAGACACAACAGCAATTCTATTACACTGAAAGTTAAGATTGCCACCTGGACACTTTGGACTCCTCCTACCTTTAAGTCAACAGGCTAAGAAGGGAGTTATAGTGTTGGCTGGGGTGATTGACCCAGACTATCACGATGAAATCAGTGTGCTACTCCACAATGGAGGTAAGGAAGAGTATACATGGAATTCAGGAAATCCATTAGGGCATCTCTTAGTATTACCATGCCCTGTGATTATGGGAAACTACAACAGCCAAATCCTGGCAGAACTGCAAATGGCCCAGACCCCTCAGGAATTAAGGTTTGGGTCACTCCACCAGGAAAAAACCACGACCTGCTGAGGTGCTTGCTGAAGACAAAGGGAATACAGAATGGGTAGTAGAAGAAGGTAGTCATCAATACCAGCTACAACCACGTGACCAGCTACAGAAATGGGGATTTTAATTGTCATGAGTATTTCCTCCTTCTTTTGCTAAAAACATGTTTGTGCACGTATACAATTGTACTATGAAAATATATTTCCTTTTTCTTTATCATGTGGAAACATCAATAAACATCAATAAAACATAAGATTTATTGACTTCATATCAGGATTTAAGTACTGTTAACCTTGTGTAACAGATTTGGGTTGGGGATCAGTGCATTTCTGGTTGTACGAAGGATAGTTGTATTATGTTAGGTGTAATTATGACCTTATTATTGTCTTTATTTGAAGATCATGTATGATCTCAGGAGATGCGTATGGGTTCAAGTTGACAAGGGGTGGACTTGTGATGGTGAATACTGGGTGTCAACTTGATTGGATTGAAGGATACAAAGTATTGATCGTGGGTGTGTCTGTGAGGGTGTTGCCAAAAGAGATAAACATTTGAGTCAGTGGGCTGGGGAAGGCAGATCCACCCTTAATCTGGTGGGCAGTCTAATCAGTTGCCAGGGAATATAAAGCAGGCAGAAAAACATGAAAAGGGGAGACTGGCCTAGCCTGCCAGCCTACATCTTTTTCCCATGCTGGATGCTTCCTGCCCTTGAACATCAGACCTCAAGTTCTTCAGTTTTGGGACTCAGACTCTCTCTCCTTGCTCCTCAGCTTGCAGACAGCCTATTGTGGGAACATTGTGATAGTGTAAGTTAATACTTAATATTAATACTAAATACTTAATAAACTCATATATATATTTATATGGAATACAGGATATATATATATATATACACACACACATATATATATATATATATATATATATACACATATATATATATATCCTATTAGTTCTGTCCCTCTACAGAACCCTAATACGTCTCCTGTAGGTAAATTTTAAAGTAAATTATAAAAATCAATGGACTCTCATCTCTCTAAGATGTTTTACTTATGAGTCTTTCCGACATTTAGAAAATATACGAGATTATACTTGCATCATTTCCACTTCGCTCATGGGATCATTCAAATTCTCTCCTTTCCTCTCTTTGTTTGCCCAAAGTCCCTATCTAAGTGTTTCTAAATGTTTACATCACCCTCTTCCACAAGTGCTTGCTTCCTTTACCTCACAACTCTTCCTGAAGTATGACCCACTGCTTACAAATGTTTATGTGCAATATGATCTTTGGGCACAAAGGCACTATACTATACACCAGAGAAATGCTGAGTTAACCTGTTGGGCTGAACAAGGAGACATGGAGAACTGTTTTGTCTTTAAGCCCTCCTGTGGAATGCATTCTTGTTTTATTTCAGAGGCCTTTTAAACAAAATCACACTCTTTGGAGGAAAAGAATTCCTCCATGTTCATTTTATTTCACACCATCTCATATGTTGCCGATGTTCTATTTAACTTTTAAGATATTGTTCTTAAGAAGGTAGCTAACACTTAATATTCATCTACTGCATGACAGGTATTTTAGGAATGAATAAAAATTTCTGGACTTCATTACTGCGTGCCATGATGCCAGCACTGTGTTAGCCATTTTAAACATATAGCTTCACATTTATAACAGCTCTCAACATTGCATGATAGAATCCATATTTTACAGGTGAGAAACCATATAAGTAACTTGTCCAAGGTCATTGGCTTATCAGGGCAGCACTGGAAGATTGAGTACACGTCTCTAACTCTGACCGTATTCTTTTTCCATACAACCTATTAATTATTAAATGATTTTCCAACTGGATTTAAGGCTCTTAAAGACAGAAATCATTTTATCTATCTTACGTCATTGGAAAGAAATTACATCTCCAGATTCTCCACCACAGCCTGGAGAGGAAAGAGGTGCCTAGTGTGAAAATAATCATTCTATTTCAAGCAGTCATCTCTAAGCCTGAGCTGAATGGAGTCCTTGAGTATAAAGAGAAGCTCTGAGCCGAGTATAGGGCAGGGACTGCTGAAAGCTAGGCATACGAAGGAGGGCTCTGAGGACTGGAGATGGCAGAGAGGGCTGGCCACCTGATGGGTAGACAAAGCTATTTTAGGCTATAGAGGTCTGATATTTAATCATCAGTTGCTAATGTTGCTTCCAGGTAAGTTCACTGCATACACAAAGACATCAGATGAGGGTTTTGAGTAATTCAAGAAAAGACTATGAGTCCCATATTTTTATCAACACTAGGGTAGAAATAAAGACCTAAATGACACAAAGTGGATGGCAAGTATTCTGTTAAGATAGGCTGCTGGGGCCAAAGGCATCAGAGAAGGCAAAATCCTTGGGAAACCACAGAAATCTTAGGGAGGCAACCAACTCTCCATGGGGCTTGGATGAGGGCTTTGAGCTGATCTTACCAGAATCTCAGAAACAGGCTTCATACGATCCCAGTCACATCTGCATCCCTCATAATGCTTGTGCATACTGTATTTGTTGAAATGGCCTCCTCCAACTTGCAGGTCAACATCCCTACCGGGCCCCTGGAGTTTTGAAAAGTTGATTTTTCCTTAATAAATAATATTATTGACACTTAAAAAAAAAGGCAATTTCTCAACCAGGGAACTCCCTGGAAAAAATTGAGTCCTAATGCACAACCTAAGGCATTCACAGTATGTAATAAGTTAACCTCTCTGCATCTAGAAGATTCTGGCTATGTAGCAGTTTTGGGAGAACTGAGGGAGTGGGCAGGCAACTCATCTGTGTTCTGTGCCTCCAAGTCTAAGGTCTTTCCAACAGGATGACAGCCCTAGAGCTCCTCCAGCCATGCAAATCCATGTGATTTGCATAGTTTCTTTTCCTTTGAGGCCTTCACTGGTGCTCCATTGCATTTCCCATCCTTACTTGACCCAGCTCCTGACTCCACCCAAGATGAGGAGCGTGTTGGTAAATTCTGTCTCCTAAGTGCTTCCATTTAGGGGTTGTGGCAATATTTGCACACAGGCAGAATATTGCTTCACAGGCAGCAATGTGAAGCAAAGGCCTTGGTCATGGTCTTATTTCTCTGAATATAGTCCCTAACTTTACTTTCTTTCACATTGCTACAGGGAGATGATATGGCAAATGTTGCACCTAGGGACTTGTTGGTTCATATTGTTGACTCAAAACATGCCCATGCTGTTTTCTCTTAGGTACCTCATTAGCCTACCCCATGGCTCTTTTAAGACT
Source organism: Homo sapiens (assembly GCF_000001405.40). Lineage (NCBI taxonomy): Eukaryota > Metazoa > Chordata > Mammalia > Primates > Hominidae > Homo > Homo sapiens. The sequence continues at coordinate 232,194,269 of NC_000001.11, read as the reverse complement.
TTTAAAATCTTTGATTGGTGAACATTAGGACTGATTCCAAGAATAATACCATTTATTTCTGCCACGTTTTGGGCAATCTGGAGATGTCTCTGGACGGTCAAAGGGTTTCTTTCCCCACAGAGTCTCTCCTTAGCCCGTTTGAAAACACTAAATTTTCTTGATAGTTGAATGAAAAGGGAAACAGAATAACAGACCCTTAAGGCCCTTAAGGGAGGGAATATGGGGAGGTCCTGGATCTGGAGGCCTTATTCATAACTGCAATCATATTATTCCTCAATTCTGCATTGAGCTCTCACCCTGCCCACACCTAACTATCCTGTATCATGGAAGGGTATATACATTGAAGGAGTTCAGGAAATGCCACCCCAAGATATGACACTTCAGTATGCTGCTTACTTTGAAGTGAGGGCACTTGGGGGAATATTAGCAGATGCAGGCAGTGGCTTCCCTGAGCTCCCCTTACCTGCCTAAAGATGATCCTGCAAAAGGAGCTCAATTGTCATGAATCCTTTCCCTAGGAATCTTCTCAAACAGAGAAGATTAATTCAGATCACAGAAGAGAAAGATTGGAGGTTGACACCATGCCCAGACAGACCAATCACCTAATCTTGTGAAGGCTGCTCAGAGACAACTTTTATTACCTGAAAGTCTTCTTATCTGCATAGCAAGTCAACCTTTGTTCACTATACATTTCCTCCCCTAACCCTTCCATAACTTGAGTCACCACCCCCACTCCATAAGCCCTAAGCCCCAATCCCCTAGTCCTTTCTGTATCTCAGGAAGCTGCATAAGCCCCAGTCATCTGACCCTCTTTAAGTCTCTTATTTGTGAGAATCCCATAAGTATGTACGTAATTAAATATGTTTTTTTCTCCTGTTCATCTGTCTCATGTCAATTTAATTCGTAGCCCAGCCAAGGAACATAGAGGGGTGGAAGAAAGTCATTTTTCATTTCCCTGCAACATAGTATAATCAAGAGTGGCTGGCCAAATGCTATCTGCTTTCAGAGGAAAATACTTTATAAGATTTTTATCAGTGATTGTGGGTCAAGTTTAAATAACTTGACATTTTCCAAAAGGAAAACAAACACAAAGCAAAACAGCCTTCCAGAACTAGTTGGCCTTGAACTACCCACCTACACAGCCCATCCCAGTCTCTAAGGCAGAGTGCAGCTCCCTGCCCTGCAAGAATGCACCATACATACATGTACACACAGGCACATGGATCGACCTTTTCTGCCTATGTTTTTGTGTCCTTAGCCAAGATAGCCACCTGCCCTGGTATGCATGCTGTGTGACTCATAGACAGAGGATAAGGCATGGATGAAGCTGTGGAAGTTTGAACCAGGAACAGAAACAGTCAAGGAAGAGACTTTTGTTTTTATATAAAGGGTCTTGAAAAGCATTTTGGGAGAATGCCAAACCAAAATGCTTCCCAAAAACAATCTGGGAAGAAGCTGTCCAAAGACAGCCTATGTTTTCCCATTTCACCTTTCTCTCTGTACCAGCTCTTTCTTCAGCAGTATGAGTGGCACCGTTTCTGGAGATAGACAGACAGGATCTGCTATTTACATACCTTGTAAACATCAGTAAGTAAGTTACATAACCTCTTTTTACCTTGTGTCCCCACCTCTGGAAGGGACTTAATAATAGAACTTGCCTTACAGTGAGGGGTAATCCAGGTGAAGCCCGTTGAACAGGAATTGGCAGAGTTTATTACATTTCAGCTATTGCATTAGTATCATTTCAAATGTTAGCCTCTCCAGAACTCTTCCTGACCTAGGAACCACTGTGCTAACCACCCCCTTCTCTTCTTACTGGGTCTCCACAATGGTGAGAATCCCATGGAGAGAAAGTTAGGAAATATCGCAAAGCAATAGAATGGACTGCTGGTTGCTAGCATTATTATTTACCCAATCTGTTTCCTTTCACCATCTCCTCTGTGTGCTTCCAGGTTAATGCTACAGTAATTACCTGTCTTTCCTACCATCTCAGCATTCCATACCGAAATGGAAAAAGTTTCCTTGTCCCCCTCCAGGGCATGCGATGGAGATGCGGCTCGCTTCTTCAGTGCCCCACTGCTCAAAACCCCTAGGGAAAGCAGGTAGAGTAGGTGGGCAGATCATGGGGAGTGTGGGCTCCGACACCATCGCAGCGTCTAGGGTGAATGTTTACAGATCCTGAAGCCCCAGTGGGCATGTTACAGTGTGCCCTTTTACTTTCACCATCTGTAGGCAGCTTGGTTTAATCAGCTCAATTCGACCCCTCTGCCTTATCACAAGGACAGAGGGCTTTCTATATCCCGGCTTCTTGCCTTGGTGTACTTGGATCACACTTGGGCTTGGAGGATGGGTGCAAAATGTTTTATTGAGTGATGGTAGCTCTCAGTGAGGTGGAAGGGGAAGCCAGAAGGGGGATGGAGTGGGAAGGTGGTGGTTTCACCCTGGAGTCGGGCAGCCTAGCAGCGGGGCTCTCATCTGACCGCCCTGGCCAAACTCCATGTTGTTCCACTGGTCCATGGCCTGACGGCATCTGCCAGTGCCTGTCGGTGTGCTCTTCTGCCAGTGTGTTCCTCTCGATGTCCAGCTGCTTGTGTCTCTGCCCTCTAGGGTCTCAGGGTTTTTCTAGGCACAGGATGGGGGCATGGTGGGCCAAGGGGGTCTTGGAAAATGCAACATTTGGACAGGAAAACAGAAATGCCTGTCCTCACCTAGGTCTGTGGTCACAGGCCTGGGGGTGGAGCCCTCTCCTCCCATCACTTCCCTGCCCCTCTACCATATCAATACTATCTGAATTTATCATCCCAGCCCACATAAAGCATTCTCATTGGTGCCTTTACTATAAGATGGTATTCCCATAAAGTGGGTGTTCTCAGCAGCCCAAAGAGAGGATCTGGTCAGAAGGGAATCTCACTGACAACCAGTTTCAGAGTGCCTCTCCCTGGTGACGGTTAAGAGCGAGCTCCTCTTATGACTGAGGGTGACTTCTCTATCCTCTCTGCAGTTCCCTGGAATAAGGAGTATTGGCATGAGGAAATTTCTAGATAAGCATTTTTCCTGCTGTCTCTTTAAGAGCTGTAGAGCTTCCTGGGCATCATGCCGATTGCCCCCATCCTGCCTTCTTTAACCAGATCTCTGCTCTTACCTCCTTCACTGCACATCTGTGGGAGGGATCTGGGATAGATGTTGTATTGAAGCTAAAAGAAAAAGGCAAAAGTAGGGGGAAGTAATAATAAAAAAAAAACCATTGAGTCTAATCACAGTAAGTTTTTGTTTTGAAACTATCTGAATGTAGAGTGAGGAAATAGTGAGGAGGTGTACAACTCATTGTGACTCTAGGCAAATATATTTGATGCTTCTGCTGTTTATACCTGAAGGGAGTAACTGATGCAGTGCAATTGGAGATCACTAACCTAGATGAAATAAAGGAATCTAACAATTTGACCCAGATTTAATAGCAACTTTAATCCTTGCTGCAATGTACCCTGAGAAGCTTTCAGTGACTCCCTGCTGCCCACTCAACTAAGTTGAAGATTTTAGTTTATCCCAGGCCTTCATCCTCTCTCCTTGAACTGTTTTGCAGTTCTTAGCTCTCATGATTCCCCTTACATATATAGTTTCCAGAAGCCAAACTGGAACGTCACTAATTTTCTGGAGTCTGTGTTTCTAATCCTCATCCCACACAGGACCACCACCTCAGTATTTTGCCTCATGATGTCCTCTCTGCCTTGAATAACTTCACTCACCATCACTCCATTTTGAAATCTGGCTTATTTTTTTTTTTAAATAGACCTCATTTTTTAGAGCAGTTTTAGGTTCACAGCGAAACGAGATGGTGCAGGGACCCCACTTAGAGCCCTCCAGATCCCCCAGGCATGAAAATAAAGGAAAAATCTTTAGTCCTCTCAAGGGAAATTCAAGGCACCTAGCTTGGAATTAAATTCCAGACACCTAGACTTGGAAAATAAGTGAATAACCCACTAAGCATGAAGGTATTGAATAATAAGCTTAATACCCGCTCAAGTAAGTTAGTCACAAGATGTTTGGTTCCCTATAGAAGCTAAAGACAACATCTTAACATATGTTTCAGAGTTGTTTTTCAGAAACCAGGACCCCCCACCAGATGGAAAATACTGACTGCCGTCACATAGATCTCAAATAAAGGGGAACTGAGGACTGAACTCTGACAGTTGTTCTTTGTTTTAAATTTCTTCCTGGGGGGCCTGGAGAGAGTCACACCCCCAGGCCAGACCTTAACATTCCTTTCTGCTGACCCCAAGATTTTAGACAAAGCCTCGCCTCCTTAACCAATTGCAAATCAAAGAATCTCTGAATCCACCTATGACCTGCAATCCCCTGCTTCAAGATATCGTGCCTTCTTAGACCAAGCCAATATATAGTTTTCATGTATAGATTTATGATTTTGCCTGTAACTTCTGCTTTCCTGAAATACATTCCTCCCTTTAAAAACCCTTGCTTATAAGCCATTGGGGATGTTGGATCTTAAGCATTTGCTGCCTGATTCTCCTTGCTTGGCATTCTGCAATAAATGCCTCAGTTTCTCTCACTGCAAATCCAGGTGTCAATGTTTAGCTTTTTCTGCATGCTGGGCAAGCAGACCCAAGTTTAGCTTGGTAACGAAAATCGAGTGGAAACTACAGGGAATTCCCATGTATACCCAGTCCCCACACACTGCACAGCCTTCGCTACTATCAACATCCTCCACCAGAGTGGTCCATTTGCTGTAATTCATTAGCCTACCTTGACACACCATCACCCACAGTCCACAGGTTTCATGAGGGTTCACTCTTGTTGTACATTTTATGGGCTATAATGACATGTATCCAATGCTACAGTATCATACAGAATATTTCACTGCCCTGAAACTAACTTATTTTTCAAGATCGAAAACAAAGCCTTCCTTCTTTAATTCAGCTTTTATTTAATAAGCCTTTAGTGAGTGCTGACTCTGCTGTGGGCACTAGAGACACAAAGCTGAACAAGACCCAGACTCTGACCTTAGGATATAATAATAGAGCAGGAAAGAGAGACAAAAGTGTGATACAGTAACTGTGTATACAGTATACTATGACACCTTGGGTCCAAGAGAACATTAGTTGGAACAAATATTCCCTTAACAATTTCCAAGTATTTTTACTCTTTTATACACACTATAACTTTTGATCCATAATTTCATTTGCCTCTTGTACTTCCTGTCCAGAAAGGGAATGATGTTTCAGATAAATCACCAGCGCCAGTTCCTAGGCTGATCTCCCAATATCAGTGAATAAATTAGTCTTTTGAAATCAAAAGCGTTGGACTGCTAAATCCTGTATCTTCCGAATTGAGACACTAGTCTTGGAATTCAGTGGTCCTACCAATAAGCCTGGAGTTCCAGGGGGGCACCTCAATCAAGGTACAACACTCCCTTGAGGCCTTTCTTCCAGCTATAAATATGTAAGGAAGCCTGTGAAGTTTACTGCCACTACAAATTCCCTAGGGGACATATGTTTATGCAATCAATATGCAGATAAGTGGAAAATGAAGGTTCTCCATCAACATGGAGTATTGTAGAACCAGTTATCAGGGACACCTTCTGTGATGAAGCTGAAAAAACATCTGACTTTACCAACAAGGTAGAGAGGGCTTGTTAGCTACTTAGCTTGGAGTTTAAAGGAAGGTAGTTTCATTAGTCTTCAGGCTTGCTTCTCAGATCTCTGCATGAATCACAGTTCCGACAGAGCAAATTCCAGTAATTTCATTTCAGAGTGAGTCCCTGCCTTGCTCAAGTCCCTTCTCAACCTGCTTAATTGCCACCCCCTGGCAAAAGTGCCGCAGCCTGCTGCCACTTTCCTCACACTTCATGAAATCAAAGTTAAATTGATGGCCCTTTAACATTCTTGGTGTTCACTGCAGAAAATATATACCTCCAAAAGAAAACATCTTATAGCATGGCAAAAAATATTATCTCCCCTACTAAAGACCCGAATTACTGAAACGCTGTGGCCTAAAGGGGAGATTTTGGTGAACTGATGTAAATGTCATGCTTTGAGAATAATCACACCCGAGGCTGTAGCTTTATTAAATTTTCCTACTGAACTTTGATCTGTAAAGTATTCTGGTGAAAGTCCTGGAATTTTGGACCCTAGTAACCAACTTAAGATGGGTTTGTTTTATAGACTTGGAAGAAGAGCTTCTTCTAGGGGGGTTCTTCATTACGGACAGGGTCTCGCTTTTGTCTCACAGTTCCATCATGCAGTCATGGCAATCACACAGTCAGAGAGTGCTCCATGTAACAGTCTTTAAATGACAGTCTAGCTATTGGCCAAACCAACTATGCACCTAGTAGACATACAGCCTAGCACATGCAAAGGATATTCTGGAGTGTACAGTGAAGGGAAGCAGTGCTTGCAGAGAGCATGCCACCGGCTGCCCAGTATCAGGCAAGACATGAGAAGCATAGAGAAACCCAGGCACCACCTTTGACTCCAAATCTGACAGTCCAGATAGTAGAAGCTTCACTAAAATCTTGAGTAAATATTAACTCTGATTAAGGATCCCTAGTAAAAATGGCTACTCTCTTGCTTGTTAGGAAAGTGTGGATTCCACATTAGAGGAGGTGGGCTCAGAATCGAGCTGAAATTGAGGAAGATGTTGCAGTGTTATGAATGGAGGTGAAAGAGATTATAGAAACCTTATGGGAATGCATGCAGACCAGACTGGGTAGTAAAGAAGATGATGAGAAAATTAACTAGAATGGAGAGAGAGCCACAATAATCATAAAGAATGCTTATACGGGATAGTACTTGCTATGGGCCAGGCACTGTTCCAAGAACCTTATACATATTTAATTCATTTAATCCTCACAGCACCCTCATAAGTATATGCCAAACATACGCTCCTTTTCAGGTGGGGAAACTGAGGTCAGAGGTACTAAGTGACTTCCCTGAGGTCAGACAGGTGATAAGTAGCAGAGTTGGGATTTGAAACCACCCCACTGGTGTGAATGCTCTCAGCACCCACGTTACACTGCTTCCCAGGGGACCAAGAGCAGAGAGGCACAAAGAGGCTGTCAGAGTGGATGGCAGAACAGCATCCAGATGGCGCATGCGACCCCAGAGGGGCTGAGAGCAGGGAAGCAGCAGAAGCATTCCAATTGCTTAGTCACCCTAGGGGGACTCAGGAGGACAGTGCCTCAGGATGTTTTCTAAGAGCCCAGGCTGATCCAAAGAGTAGGAAAGGAAAGATTCCAGGATACAATCTAAGATTTGTGGGGAAATAGCCACCAGTCTCCCTATTTCTACTCATTCCTCTCTGCTTCTCACCCCCATGTTTTCTTTTCTTCACAAAGCCTTATATTTTGCTTAAATAGCAGGGGTACTAGTTTTCTAACCAAGAGCCCTGACTCATATTTCAATCCAGTTTAGAAGCTAAGTGAGAAACAATTATACCCCTGGGAGATTTTTATTTTTTATTTTAAATTATTTATTTTTTCTGGAGACAGGGTCTCACTCGGCTGCTCAGGCTAGCGTGCAGAGGTGCAATCATAGCTCACTGCAACCTTCATCTCCTGGACTCAAGTGTCCTGTTGTCTTAGCCTTTCAAGTAGCTAGGAGTACAGGCACACTACCACGTCTGACTAATGTGTGTGTGTTTTTTGTTTTTTGTTTCTTGTTTTTTCTTGTAGAAGCAGAGTGGCTTGGCCTTGAACTCGTGAGCTCAAATGATCCTTCTTCCTCGGTCTCCCAAAGTGCTGGGATTACAGGCATGAGCCAATGATCCTGGCCTCCAGTTGCCTTTAAATCTGTTGGAACTAGGCCTTAGACAAGCCTGGTGAAGAGGGACTGAGACCTAGAAACTCAATAGCCCTTTGCCAGGAGCAAGTTGGAACAGTCCCAAGGTGGACTGGGTGGGGAAACATGGTAGAAAGCAAGGCCAGGTGGGTAGAGGGTGGCTCTAGAGACTGGCTACTGCACAGGGGGCAATCCAGGCAGGTGGTGAGAAACTGGGAACCCCAAAGGTGATATCACGTCACCTAGGCAGGGCATGGTGACAGGGGCACCCAGCAGACAGCAGGATTCGATGTCTACAAAATTTGTCTACAAAAGCAGACTCTCTGTCCCCAGGGAGAAGTTTTTTGAAGATAGGAAAGTAGAGTCTCAGCCTTGGGAAAACTAAAGAATGGGCAGATTATCAAGAAGGAAACTCAAGCCTAGGAATCAAGGCAGGGGCCACTTACCAGACCCTGACTTAAGATGGGGGGTTTGTCATGAAAACAACACTGGAGCTCTGTTGGTTAAACTGAGATTCTAGTGAGGATGGGTGAAATGAAGCCGGTTGGATCACCTGCGTGGCTGAACTGATGTTGCAGGTGACCCCGGCCGCAGCTGGAAAAGGGGTGTTTAGGAGCAGCATCCCAGGTAAGTGGATTCCAGCGACCCTTCCAAGACACACTCAGCACATCACACAGCCCCCGCCCAGGAATGCAGCTGCAGCTGACCCAAAACCCAGAAATGTCCACTGGCTGCCTATGACCTCTAGACTCAAGGGGTAGGTGCAGAATCAAAGGCTTCCCTGCCGTGGAAGGAGCCCAGAGATTGTGGGCGTGAACTCCCTTGGCTGTAGTTGGGGTGTGGTGGGTGCAGGGGTCATTTCCTTCCAGATGCTTCTTCTGCGATCTGAGAATTGGAGGAACTGTAAACCTGAACTTCAAACAAATAAACTGGATTTTTGAACTGGTGCCTTTTTTTAGCCTTATTTTTAGGGACAACAGGGAAGATGCACAGGTGGACTCGATCTGCTTCTCAAAGTGGGGCCATGGGGCACCTGATCAAAATCAATTGGACGACGACAGGTTAGGGACCTGGACTCGACTGAACTGGAAGCTCTGAGGGTGAGGCCTAGGAAGCAGCATTTAACACCCACGCTGCAGGGGACCCTAAGCCCACTCAGGACAGAGAAGCTTGGCTTAGGGAGTAGGCACATCCCAGGCCACCACCCTGGTGTGGTTCCCCTTTCATCTGTTCCTCAGTCCAGGCAATGGAAATGCAGGGCATCTCCGCCACTGGGAGTGACCCCACGCCTGGGGTGAGTATTTTGGATTGGTGATTCCACTTTAGCTGCCAAATGTGAGCAATCCCAGAGAGCCTGTGAAGTTCCCTCTGCAAACCGCATCTGAGGAAGCAAAAGGAATCAAATTATCCCCACTTGGCTCTGCATTAAATGGAGCTCAAAATATTTCCCCCAGATCCACCTGTTTAAGGGAGAAGCATATAAATTCAGGCTATTGTTGTCACTTCCACCCACTTCCCAGTTTATATCCCTTTCTGGGGCGCTGCCATCACAGATGTTGGAGACACGTAGAATGTCACAAAAACAGGAATGCTGATGTCAACTGATGAAAGGGAAGTGATTCTGTTATTTCCTCATTCTTTAGGAACTGAAGCGGGCATTGAGAGAAAGCATGTGCATGGGTGTGTGTCACGCCTCGTGTCCCAGCCTCTCGCCGCATGCTTGGCATGTGGGAAGAGTCAGTGAATGCGTGCTGGGTTAAGGTAGGAGGAAAGCTATGTGTCACCTGGGGCTCCGGAATCCCACACTGGCCTCCTGCATTGGCAGGGTATAGGGTGTCTCAGTCCAGAATCACCTGGCACAAGAACCGTTCTTCCTAGCTCAGGGCAAAGTGGATTTCTTGGAGGCTACAAGGGTAGCTCAAAGAACCCAACGACAGGGCATGCAGCAGGCCCCACGTGGGACCACAACTGGGGTCTGGAGAGTCAAGGACAGGGGTCTGTTAAGCCACTTGATTCAGGGCTGCTGAGCTCATCTCTGCATCTCTGCCCCCATCTGCCTTATGTGTGTGTGTCTGTCTCTCTGTAGACACAATGTCCTCATTTCTCTATGGAAGATCCAACATGGCTGCCCACCTCCCACCCGTCTCTGTGTTAAATCCCTTCATATTTCAAGACCCCAGAGGAAATTACGTGAGTCTCTTGGTTCAAATTCCACAAAAGAGGATGAGAGAGGCCCATCTTAGTGGGGGTGGGGGGAACTCAGTGTCCAACCTGGATTCAATCAACTCTGGGTTGGGGCAGGCTCCCTCTTCCCTCTGTCTATCTGTCTGCAGAAGACTCCCTGAAAAGGGGTCTGGCAGGTTCTGTAAGAAGGGGATGAGCAGTCAGAGGGAGACACCTACCTGAGAAAGTGAATAGCTTCTCTTGGGCACTCACATATGACTGTGATGCTCAATAGAGCCTACACCAGTCCTGGCTGTCACTGGCATCTCTTCATAGAGGAGAGGCAGTCAGTCTCACACATGTTAGAACATGTGTTGCTCTGTAGAATTGAACATAATATCATATTACTCTTTCCTCCCCATCACTCTCTCCTCCCTGCAGCCTAGCCCTCCCTGTTGGATTGTGCTAGCCACCCAGAAACCTGGGCATGGTCAGAAGTAGGGCTTGCACCCTCTTTTCAATCCCTCAACATAGCTTTAGGACAAAGGTTTATGTGCCATCCTCTTTTTGGCTGAGACTCTGCTATATTTTGTTACAAAGAAACAGAACAGTGTTGTAAAACTGCGAGTGGTGCCCTTCCCAAAGTGACCATCCATGGCGAGTGCTTGCTTCTGCTAATTTCAGCACCGGACCTGCTCCCATGGCTGAAGTCCACACACACTGGAGCCCACTGAGCCGGATGAGAGTCAGGAATGAATGGAGGTCGGGTTCCATTGTACTCTCCCCTGTGCAGAACCTGTCATGGCCATTTGGTTTGTGCTCCGCAGCCTCGGTGTTTCAATATTTTATGAATGACACCTTCCAAGACTTGCTGGCCCACTCTGAGACCGCCTGCCTCCCTGACATCCTGATGTACTCTCAGGAAGAGGCTCTGCACATGGAGAAGCCCAGATGGTATTGGCTCCCCTCCACTATCTCCAATGCCTTGGCAAGCTAGACAAATGCAGGTTTCTGACCTCATGAAAGGAGGGTTATTAGGGTATTTTATCTCTCTGTGGAACATTTGCGTGCTGCCACCCGCCCGATCCCGCGCCCCTCCTTCGGTCAATGATGACCTCCACTGAGAGCATTCTGACTGTCAGCACCTGACCTCCAAGGCTTCCTGGAGCTCACGGGCCCTTGATGAAGCATTCACTCCCTTTCACTTTTCAGCCATTATGGACATTTCTATAAAAGAAACATGCCTTCTAGTGGTCATCTGAATCTTACAAAGCCTTTGCAACCATAAGGCTTGAGAACCGCCCAGCCTCTTGTGATGAAGCCAATGCAATGGACAAAATGTAGGATCAGTGTTTCCCCTGCCTTCCCAAATCCCCTGAGTTCTCTCTAGAGCAGGGCTGCCCGCCCTTGGAAAAGACCCTGGCCATTGAAGTACATGTGGTCCTGGCATCTGAGTACAATCCAGAGAGGGGTCCAGAGCCTACTTCCAAAGGGAGCGTGCCCACTCCAGGGGTGCACAGACAGCCCCAAGGGCAAGGGAAGAAACGTTAGAAAGTGACTAGCTTTTTCCCTATCTTCCTGCTCTACTGACATTGAATGTACATAGTGAGAGTTGCATATGTATAAAATGAATTTTTAAATTTTGCTCTTTTTGTCTCTGATGGAGAGCAAGATCCAGAGCATTTGGAGACCAGTGATTCAGAGCAGAATTCTGGAAGCAGAGTTTGCTGTGAGTCTCAGCTCTGCTGCTCTGTAATTGTGTGGCTCCGGGCAAGGGGCTTATTCCCTCTACATCCTCATTTTCTCATTGACAGAGTGAACTTGGCAGAAGACCCTCGCTCGTGAGACTGCTGCGGGGATGACACGAGATGGTACAGTGTGAGCTCAGTGCCTGGAACCCTGGAAGCCCTGGATAAACGTCAGCTGCTGTTATCACTGTTACTGTCAAGTCAATTCCACGTCAAACAGCAGAAGCTGAAGCCCTCGGGATGGCTCCCAAGCTCTGCTGGAGTCTATATGTGGAACTTCTTCACCCATTTCCAGTTCCTACTCCAGGGTCCTTGAGTTAGCATGGACAATCCAGTGAACAGGTACCTTTCTAGGAAGACCGCCCCATCTATGTTTCGATCCAAAACAAACAAACAAACAAACAAACAAAGAAAAAACCCCAAAAAACAAAAATAAACAGACATTGTCTGCTGGCCACACCTCAATGGACCTCCTGTCTGGTCCTGTCTGGTCCCACCTGGAAGTGGGGTTGGTATGAAGTTTCAGCATAATGTCCCACAGCTTGGATGCTGACCCCAGAGGGGAACCCACAGACTCAGAATAGTTATCCTGTGTCCACTCCTTGGGCCAGCCCACATTCGCCCCATTACAATAGCATTAGGTGCGAAAACAGACACGCAGGCTCTATGGGCAGGGGGAGCCCCTCATATATGAGACCTGCATTGGCAGGTTGTGCACCTGATTGGCCTGGGTGTTCCTCTGGAGTTGGGCAGATCTGAGTTTATCTCCAGTCTTCCCACTCCCTGGCTGGCTCGTCAAACTTATTCCATTTCTCTGTGCTAGTTGGGATAATTCTGCCTGCTGTAACAAATGAACTTCAAAATCTTGGTAGCTTGGCATAATAGAAGTTTACTTTTTATCTGCATTTTCATTTTAATCCAAATGCTCCTGGTTGGAGGACAGCTTCCCTCTACACCCTGATTTGGGGAACCAGTCTCTCTGGTCTTGTGGCCCCACCACCCATGAGGGCCTCTGCATCCTCAGCATCCAGCGAAGAGATGAGGTGAGAGAAAGTGGAGAAGGATGCAAGGAAAGCTGGGAAGCGTAGTCCTTGGACAGGCAGCTGCTTGTCAGAGCAACTGAGAACTCTCTTCTAGAAAGTGGGGACAAATTCTGGTGGAAAGTAACCTAGCTGCCACACTTTGTAGGCCACAGTGTCTTCATCAGTAAACTGGGGATGATGACAATGAATGGGGATCCTGCAAAAAAGGTAAGCTGCTGTTGTTAATTAGGATTTAGACCTTGCTATCATCATTTGCTGAAGTTGAAAGCAAGGCTGCACCTTGAAAATGGATCCAGATTCCTTTGGGGGCTGATTTCTGGATCTTCAGCAGAAATTCAGGTGCACAGCCTTGGTCTGAGCCCAGAGATCAGTTCACCTGGCTGTTCTATTCTCCCACTGTTTCCCACCAGGATGTGCCTCACGCATTTGCTCCACACTGAACCCCCACACTTCCCCTTCCCAGCATCTTCATCTTTTCTGGCGCTGCAGCCCAAGGACCTGAGCCCTGGCCTCGGTCATGTATGTGCTGCTGCAATATCCCCAGCCCTCCTGGCTTTGCCTCTAACTGGCCTGGATACAGCTCTGCCCTCAGGAACAGACCCTGTAGGACACAGGCAGCCAGTTCATTGAGGTGTTTGAATTCAGTAGGAATTCAAATGTGACTTTTTTTTTGTTCTTATTCACTCCCTTCAACTATGCCCTTTCCCATCACTGAATGACATTTGGGGCAGATTTTATAACATTCCACTCACTTTCAGTAACTGAAACAGCCAAGGCCCATTTCAAGTATCTATTTATTTCACATCCATTCGAATGACAAATTCCCCTCCCTCCCCCACCCTCCCACGGGCCAGGCTGTAGCCAGGAAGCCTTGGTACAAAGAGCAAAAGAGGTTGCTCTCCTCTCCTACCCACCTCTCTCTTCCAGGTCCCTCCTTCCTTCCAATTTGCTTGGGAACAAAGGATTTGAAAAAGGACTGTTCTCCCTTGTATATCTGGCTGCCTCCACCCTGTCTCTGGCCAGGACAGCTTGCCTGAGGGTTGGGGGGCAGGTGCTGGCCAGCTTATGGAGCACACAAGGAAGATCCACGTTACCTCCCCCACTTCCAAACCCCTCTGCTCCCACCCTCGGCATTGCCCCCACAGCCTGTTGCTCCTGGGGTCCTCGCTCCCACAGCAGCCTTCTCCAAAGGCACACTGGTGAGTCAGCCAAACCAGCAACCTCTGCAGCAGCCACGTGGCCCACACTTGGCCATGCCCATCTGTGGGAGCACCGGCGGTCCCAGCCATGCCTCCTTTCTCTGCTCTGCCTTTTGCCTCACATCTCCTCTCCACCTGCTCAAACAGCAAGTCTGTTTGAGCAACAGACCTTCATCCTGCTAAGGAAATGCCTATCTCTTCTGGCCAGCAGCCTTTCCCTGGGAGGAGTTCCCTGTTTACCCTCCCTTGCTGGGGAGAAGGCAGAGCATCGCAGGGGACTTGGCCTCACAAAGGACACAGTGAGATGAGTCCTTCAGGGCAGGGCTGCCAGGAAACAGCCATAGCTTTGCTGGAAGAGGGACAGGAGACAATGACAATTGATCGAAGCCTCCAGCCCCTCCTGGGAGAGTTTGGCTGTTTCTTTGGCCTTGTCCTGATCTTTCCTGGACTCACCTCTGTCATCCAGCTGGATTTGCAGTGCTGGCTCAAATTGCTACTTGAAACCAGGGCCAGACCAGGCATGTGGGCACCTCTGGCGAGCTTGTAACTTGACATGCCATCAAAATAAGGCACTTTAAATGTTTGCACAATGAAAACTTACTAGGGCCAGACAGAAATGACAAACAGATTTCCTTTATTATTCCTTTTCATTGGCCAAGCAATTCATGTCCAAAAAAATTTTTAAATCAAAATATCTAGTAAAACATGCTCCATTATTTTCAATAATTCTCCTTCTCTTAAGATATCTTTCCTGTAGTTTCTTAAAGGAGGTAACTCTTAGGAGGCATATCCAATAATTTGAAATATAAACAACAAAACTCATTCTTAATTCATAGCACCACATTGTACTTTGTTTCCAAAATTTCTACTGGCCTCAGCTGTCAGCTTTTAGCATATGTAAATGCACGTGAACACAACTAATGCTCAGAGAAGGATGGAAATTCTACCTAAGTGAGAAAAACGAATGGACTCTTCTTCCTTCCTTCCTTCCTTCTTCCTTTCTTCCTTCTTTCCTTTCTTCCTTCCTTCCTTCCTTCTTCCCTCCCTCCCTCCCTCCCTTTTCTCTTTCTTTCTCTCTCTGTTGTTTTATCTGCTTGTTTTGTTTGTTTGTTTACGTACTCCAGGTCTTACCCACCAAGGTCAGAGTAACAGTCATTTATACCCACACAGTAAGGTGAGGAAGGGTTTGGGGGACCTGAGTTAGCCAGGTAGATATTGGTGACAGTTTTGTGCCATCAGACAGCTGCCCAGCAGGCACATCCCCTTCTTTATCTGTTTTAGAAGAATCTTCCTCCCTTTCCTTCCACTCTGGCTCCCACCCTCACCCATGACTCTTCCTCTTCACTCTAATTCTTGGACAACTGTGCACAGTCTGGGCATGTCTCCTATGATGAGTTCCTGAACGCATTCTTGCTACTTCAACAGCTATAAAGTGTGTGTTTGGGAAGCAGGAATGTTGGATACCTGGATTCAAACTCGCCCAGCCTGAATCCAGGCTCAGCTTCCTCCTAGCTGTGTGGCCTTGACAAGGCATGTAACCTCCCTGCACCTAGGCTCAGTCAGCTGTGTGGCAGGCAATCATTCCCTGGCAAAATTATCCTGAGGATCCCAGTTAGCACAGGCACAGTGCCTGGCACTTAGGAGGCTTGTAGTGTAATCACTTGACAGATTTTTCCTGCCCACTGCACAGAAAGAAAAAGTTCACTGAGAATGTGGTATTGCCGTCAAGAAAGAGTTTATTTAATCCAAGGCCAGCCATGTGGATGAACAGGAGTTATCACTCAAATCAGTTTCCCCGAAGGCTCAGATGTTAAGGTGTTTCAAGGATAGTTTGGTGGGCAGGGGACTAGGGAATGGATGCTTCTGACTGGCTGGGAATGCAATCATAGGGGTGTGGAAAACAGCCTTCATGTGCTGAGTCTGCCTCTGGATGGGGGCCACAGAACTGGTTGACTCATGAGTCAACTCAATGAATACAGGTAGGACCAGTCAGTTGTCAGAATGCAAAGGTCTGAAAAACATCTCAAAAGATCAATCTTAGGTTCTACAATACTAATGTGATCTATAGGAGCAGACCTCTGGCCACATGACTCCTGAGCAATAAGGGTTTATAGAAACTATGCCTACGTTTTAGCAGAATTCAGGCCTCTCCCATAATTCTAGTCTTGTGACCTTTTTTTCATCTTACATAGGCGATTTTGGCTCCCAAACAAGGGCGGGAGCAGCTTTAGGGAAGGACTATTTTCACCTTTGCTTCAAAATTAAATTATAAACTAAATTCCTCCATGGTTGGATCGGCTTATGCCCAGGAATGAGTGAAGACAGGCAGTGTGTGAGGCTGGAAGCAAGATGGAGTCAGCCATGCTACAGTTCTCTCACTGACATCATCTTTGCAGAGGCAGTTTCAGCAACACATGGGTATCACTCTTCTTATGAGTTCTGTGGTAGCCTTCTTTGAAAAGAATATCAAAGTTCCTCTCTGTTTATGTAACAATCTCAGGCTCGTAGGCCTATGATTGCAAGACATCAGTTCTTTTTTTCCACCTTCAGTAGTTATTGTCTCAGAAAAGTCATGTCAATCCCTTTAGGTGGAATGAATAATAAAATGATTTCTAGTTGGTGTGAAACATGGATAGGGACCCAGTGCTGCGCACAACCCCCAGAGCCCCATCTCCTGCCCTGATGACATCATGCCAAACACACCAAAGGAGAAGGGAGACAGGTTTGTTGGAACCCCACACTCAGGATGCACACACAATGGTTAACCCTTTACCAGCTGTTGGATCTTGGGCAAATCACCCAAACCTGTACACCTCATGTCATCATCTTTATTGCCAGCTTTTGTGAGGATTAAATGAGGTGATGGATCTGGAGTGCTCAGCCCATGTCTAGCTGGAAAGGTCCCCAGGGCCCACACAGGTTGCTCTGATGCTCTGGAGCAAACCACAGCTCTCCCCAGGCTTTTGAAAGAGGAGCTGTATTAGTCAATTGTCATGCTGCTGATAAAGACATACCCGAGACTGGGTAATTTATGAAGAAAAAGAGGTTTAAAGGACTCACAGTTCCACGTGGCTGGGGAGGCCTCACAATCATGGTGGAAGGCAAAAGGCACATCTTACCTGCCAGCAGGAAGATAGAATGAGAACCAAGCGAAGGGGTTTCCCCTTATAAAACCATCAGATCACGTGAGACTTACTCAGTACCAGGAGAAGATATGGGTGAAACCACCCGTACGATTCGATTATCTCGCACTGGGTTCCTTCCACAACACGTGGCAATTACGGGAGTCACAATTTAAGATGAGATTTGGGTGGGGACACAGCCAAACCATATCAGGAGCAAAAGGAAGCTTTCCTTGGGGCCAGTCCTGAAACTGAGGGGGATGGAGAGCAGTGGAAGTACAGGACTGGAGGAGATGGTGGCCCATTCATACTCCCAAGAGGGTGAGAGGCCTTGGGTGGAAGGAGGAGGACCAGCTGCCGGGGGAAGCCCCCTTCTCGACTCTGGGGGACAAAGGCTGAGGACACCTGTTTTTCTCTGACAATCTGTAATGCAAGAAACATTGCTCCTGCTACATCATCCCCCTCACTGCTAATTTTAATCTTTCCCAACTCCCCATTTTCTCTTTTGTAATCATTTCAGTGTGTGAATTCCCTCTCTTTTCCACCTCCCACCAAATCTGCCCTATTGCTGATACTTCAATTGTATCTTTCAACTTAGGCTGTTGAATAAATTGAGTCAACTATTTTTTGTTGTTGTTTTTAGAGACAGGGTCTTGCTCTGTTGCCCAGGCTGGAGTGCAGTGGTGTCATCATAACTTACTGCAGCCTCAACCTCCCAGGCTCAAACCATACTGCTGCTAAGACTAGAGGTATTGCCCACCACACCCAGCTAATTTTTAAAGGTTTTTGTAGAGATGGGGTCTCACTATGTTGGCCAGGCTGGTCTAGAACTCCTGGCTTCAAGTGATCCTCCTACCTCGGCCTCCCAAAGTGCTGGGATTACAGGCTTGAGCTCACAGTGTCCAGCCAACAGCCCACTATTTGACCAGGGTTATTTCCTAGGGGGTAGGAGGGGTAACAGAAGACACCGTTATTTTTTAAGAAGCATTGGAGGAGGCTCAGAGCCCCCAAGCAGTGTCATTGTGAGCTGGCCAGTCTCTTCTGAGAAGCAATCAAGCTCAGCTCCTTCTAAGATAGTAATCGTGGCAGGGTAAAGATATCCCAAAGGAGGAGCACATTCTGGGAGGGCAGACCTGGGCAGTGTGCTTACGGAAAGTTATGACCAGACACTTAGGGGACCAGAACAAGATGCTGGATGCCCGGGAGCAGGAGATGCTTTGAGAGGGACAAGGGAAAAGGCTGATGATAGATTTTATCGACACTTCTCTCCATTTTGTCTTGATTTTGCCTTAGGGACCCCGAAGTTAAATTGGGTCTTTGTAACAGTTGTGGCTTCTGTATCTTTATAGATGGTGGGAAAGAAAGGGGCCAGAGAACACAAGAGACAAGCACCCCCGCTGTTAAGGCCTCTTCGTTCCAGGGTTGGAAGGAAGACGCTCCACAGCGATCTTCAGGGCAGAGTCACCCTGCTGTTCTGACATCCATCAAGCCGGGCCTGACTTCTCAAGATTGCTGGCTGTCCCAAGAGAGCAGGTGGCATAGGCAGTATCCACAGGTCCAACTCTCTCCCAGGAGAAGAGATTCGAAGCAGGGATCTGCCACCTTTCTGACAAGCAAAGGAAGCAACCAAAGCCTGCAAGGAAGACCAAACTGTCTACTAGAATAATTAAGGTCAGAAAGATCACAATTCCACCAAGGAGAGAAAACATAAAGACCCTTGAAATACCTGCTGTGATTTGGGAAATGATTTTGTGTAGATTTTCTAGTAGGAAAATCCATGCTGAGATGTAGAGAGAAGAGAATTATGAACAGAAAAAAAACATGTGTGACTCGCAAGGTAGTGGCAAAGATAATTCTAGTAAACAGGGTTAAAATAATAGAAGAGCTTTTGACTAATACACCCGGGGAAAAGAGATACTGAAGTGAAAACGGGTCCACAAATAAATCAGGCTGGGCATGAAATTAATGATGGGTCTGAAATGGCCGAGATATTGAACTCATTCTTCAAACCTGTCTTCCGCAATAGAAATGAAAAGAAAAATACAGACAATGAGGAAGCGATAGAAACCTTCTGAAAATAACTCCTGGCACAAGCAGAAGCACGACCCCTCGGAACATCTAAGTGCCACCCTGAACAGGTGTAGACATGCCCCTTGGGGGATATGAGGAATTGATTAGGATCTACTGTACATTTAGAATAGTGTCTGAAAACGGCATCATGGAGCTATTATTGTTATTTTAAATAAATAAAGTTAGAGATGGTTCTGAAAGAAGATGCCCAGTATTTTTGGTGGAAACATTAAAAGGAGAGAAAAGGAGGGGGTCAAAAGAAATAGTGATCCCACTTGTTCAGTTTGATATCAATTACTGGGGAAGATCAGGACACACGCAGTGAGGGTCGTGTCAATGCTGAAAAGGCTAAACAATCATTGTATTTATTTGAATCAACTTTTTAAAAGCCACTTTTTAAAAGTGGCTTCATCTCCCCTTCCCCTGCCAAAAAGACCAAACTAGTGAAGACAAATGCTGGTAACTATATCTGTTTGCATTTTAAGTGTATCTCTATCTGAACAATTCACAGAACAGTGTGATCAGAAGGATCCCGTAACAGTTTCTGCATCCATGCCATTAAAGGTATACCCACCATTGACAGCCACTGCCGAGGACCTGGACCTGTTCCAAGTCAGGGATTTGCATAGCTTCTGTTTCCTGCCTCCTTTTGGTTCCCGCTTTTCTCCTCTTTACGCAAGCGCATGTGTTGTTCTGCTTTATCCAACCATTCCCTCCCACACCTTTCCCTTCCTCAGGTCTCCCCTTCATATCCCTGCCCAGCACTCTGGGATGAGCCTTTCTCCCATCTTACCCTCTTAGGGCCAAGCTTGCTATGGAATGCAAACTGAATTATGCTAAACAGTGAATGGGGTAATGTGCCAGTGTTAGCAAGGCTCTGACGTGATAAAGTCTTAATCTAGAGAAATAATTCATGGTGGTAGTTCAGAGTCTATGGCAAGGTAACGGAGATGGTTTAGGAACTGTGAGCCTGTTGATAAGCTCTTAAGTCACATTAGAGACAGTTGCTTATGAGTTGGGTTGATCCTACCCAGATGATAGCATTACTTAGGGCTCGACCCAGGGCAAGGGTTGTGGCATTCTAGCCAAGGGCCACATGTACATATATTAGGAACACAAAGAAGTCTGACTTAATATCTCTATTAAATCCTACTGTATATTGCAATGATCTCATTACTGATCTTACAAGGGGAGGAGGTGGCA
This sequence comes from Homo sapiens, assembly GCF_000001405.40. NCBI lineage: Eukaryota > Metazoa > Chordata > Mammalia > Primates > Hominidae > Homo > Homo sapiens. The sequence goes on along the minus strand of NC_000001.11, from coordinate 232,173,931 downwards.
GTGAGATAATCTCATTTGTATAAATCCCTACATATTATCACTAAAAATTACTGGGTGAGGTAATACATTTATTTGGTTATACATTATGGAATTAATTTTGCTAAAACATAATTGGGTGTGCATGTAAAACTATATACACACTGGAGGTTATTTACTGATGAAAATTATTATATGTAATAGATGTACTCTTGAAAGGTTGTTGATAAATATAAATGTGGCCAAGCATAGTGGCTCATGCCTGTAATCCCAGCACTTTGGGAGGCTGAGGCAGGAGGATCTCTTGAGGTTCAGGAGTTACACCAGACCAGCTTGGGCAACATAGCAAGACCTTGTCTCTACAAAAAATGTGAAAAAATCAGCCAGGTGTGGTGGCACATGTCTGTAGTCCTAGCTACTCGGGAGGCTGAGGTGGTAGGATTGCTTGAGCCCAGGAGTTTGAGGCTGCAGTGAGCTATGATTGCACCAATATACTTCAGCCTGAGTAACAGAGTGAGACCCTGTCTCTAAAAGTAAAAAAAAAAAAAAAAAAAAAAAAAAAAAAAAAAAAAAAAAAAAAGATAAATGTAAATGTTAATAAATAAATAAATAAATAAATATACACGGATACCATTTTTAAATGCACAAAGGGATACTGCTATTTAAAGAAAGCCTGTAATGACACCTATTGAAAAATGAGAGCTCTTTATGAAATGATTAATCATCTCTGAATTTTGAATCTTTAGTCTATCTGTTATCTTTGATAAAGTTTACTTGATCATGCAAATTGTGTACTTTATACGCACGAGTAATATGTAATATTACTTATGCATATGTAATAGCCACATATACTAAATCCAGCATTTTTTATTCCTGTTGCAACCTGGAGCCATGAACAACCCAAGTCCTACTGAGGCCAGTGTACTTAGCCCATCAACCTTCCATAGGCAGGATGCTCCCCATGGGCCCATGTCATGCCAACATAGCTATATTGCTCCCCATGGTAGCACCTTCCAAAGAAATAGCACCTTCTGGAAACTGAATCTTTTTGTTACATTTCCTTCTCTACAAATTGTGTTTCTTATTTTGCTTCTGATATTGTCTGGGACCAGGGAGACTTGAGCAGACCTGTTTCACGTGGAAATGTTGCTGGTTCAGCTTGGTTGAAAAAAGGGAGGACTGTAACCTCCGACTGCAATTTCCTGCCCAGCTTCCTGAGCAGCAGCTTTCAGACTCTTTTAGCCTGGTTATTTATTATCTGGGCTGACTGTATCTGTAGGTCATTGATCGTTACTATATTCTGATGCTGTCTTTATGAGCAAGTCCAAGAACTTCTAGTCTTAAAAATGTGAGAAAATTACATCTGTAATTTCTGGACCGGCTATAACTACCATATAAGAAAGTGTTTTAGGAACGCTTTTAACATAGAACTCAGATGTTTAATTTAGAGAAAATACTATGTGACAATCACGAAGTCAGCAGAGGAAAAGAGAGAAATCGCTGGTTCCATTCTTAGATAGTTCCTTTTTTGTTTCTCTTTTGACTTAATGCTAATATCCTGGCAACACTCTTCAGCTTTTCTCTGGACCTAGTCTCTGGGCCCTTGAGAGATATTTTCTTCCTACTAAGTTAAATTACTTCCCCTGCATGTTATTTCTTGTGGGCTTCTATGAAAAACCACCCTCAACGATGTTGGCCATTGTCGCGAATGTCTTCTGACTCTTTCTCACCTACTTACATATGCCCTCCATGCTGGTCATCACGACTTCTAAAACCCTACATCTTAATAGTGGCCAATGGTATGAAACCAAGGAAGCTTTTGTATAATATACCCTGACCACGATTCAGAAAATATATTCACAATTTTTTTTTTTTTTTTTCTGAGACAGAGTCTCACTCTGTCACCCAGGCTGGAGTGCACTGGCATGATCTCGGCTCACTGCAACCTCCGCCTCCAGGGTTCAAGTGATTCTCCTGCCTCAGCCTCCCAACTAGCTGGGACTACAGGTGCCCGCCACCATGCCAGGCTAATTTTTTTATTTTTGGTAGAGACGGGGTTTCACCCCATTGGCCAGGCTGGTCTCGAACTGCTGACCTTGTGATCCGCCAGCTTCGGCCTCCCAAAGTGCTTGGATTACAGGCGTGAACCACTGTGCCCAGCCTATTCACAATATTTATAAGCAAAGAAGCTCGACATTACACCAAAAATGGGAGTGTCAGAGACACACTCAAGCAAAGAGACATGTAGCTCCCTGGACTCACATGCATGTACTATGATGTCAGCTTGCTCTGCACCGCTGTCTGCAGTGACACCAGATGACACTTACCAATGGCCCCCTCCAGCTGACTCTCTTAAACCACCACTGGAAACATGCCTGGGATTACATGCTCCTCAGAGCAGAAAGAAAAATTTTCACCTTCTCATTTGCACATCTACGAAGATTCCCCAAGGGCTTCTAATATAATGTTCCGAGTAAGAGGGTAGAAAAGCTAATTGGATTTCTGTTCATAAATTGTTGAGCTGGTGCATTTATTTGTATGATAAAGTAAAATGTTAATGATATTCAACATGTATGGCATGTAATGAATTTATAAATCATCTCATTTATATTTCATAAGCATTGAATTTTGATCCTTTCTTCCCAACTGTCTCTCCTTGATCTAAAAGATCTATAATGTAATCATGGAGGAGAATCCTAGTATTGCCACTGTAGTTTCCCTTTTTAGATACATGTATTGATTATATTCTAATGCATATTGCCTTCTTTATATGAGCAATTCTCATTAAGTAGGAGTATTTGGTCATAAGAGTGGCACTCAGATGTTTACACAGCATCTCCTGCTGGTTCAGCTAGGTTCCTGTACCAAAGAGACAATTCAGGATATGGATTATGATAGGGATTCAGAAAGAACGCTGAACTAAGAGGTAAGAGTCTAGGTATGAATTGTGGCTCTACCAATAATTACATCTGTAGCTCTGAACTAAGTCATCTTAGTTTCCCCATCTGCTAAATGAGGGGCAGGAATTTATAGTCTCCAAGATCTCTTAAAGCTCTAACATTCTCTGTTCCTATGACATAGAAGTTCTGATAGTAGGGTAAATGAAGAAAGTAGTGGAAAAAATGTCATCGACTTCCTTTTAGGGGAGAAGGAAGAACTGAGTAAGAGAGCCATCTGGCCAAAGTGGGAACATCTTGGGGACAAGCTAAATCAACAAGATTCACAAATCGGGGGGAAAATACAATTCTTACCAAGGGGAGCGAAGGTTTTGATGAGAAAGTCAACAGTAAGCAACAAACCAAAACTGGCAGTACAAGAGCAAATGGGCTATTGGTCAGTAGCTGAGAGACTCATAGCAGATGGCGTCAAGCTTGAGAAATGATGCCTGGAGTATGGATCACAGCAGAGATTGTGGATGATGGGTGTATCCTGGGGCTCCCCCTTTAAGCAGCTCCAGGTTGGTTATCTGGGCATGGACATCACTTCTCAACAGAATTGCAGGTGCTGTCCAGTAATATCTTATTTTTTGAAATCTAAAATGACAGTGTCAACCAGGGCTTTCAGGGAATGTTTTCAGGCAGAATTTCAGCATGGGTAGCTGACTGCATCAGTTTGCTTGTATCACTTGGTCCTCGGTGATGAAAGCCATATATTTAGCAATTAGTCTTTTGAGGGCAAAATGAATTTTTCAATAAATGATGCTAAGATTTGGGAGAGAAAGCCTAAGCATTTGGGGAAAAATTAGATTCCCTACTTTATATCACGTACCAATATAAATTCCAAGAGAATTAAATGTTTCTGTGAAAAAAAAAAATAGCGAACTGAAAGAAAATCTTATTCCTAGAGGCAAAGTTTAATATCTTTAATATACAAAACCTGCCTATAAATAGATTAATAAAATAAGAATTCCGTAGTGGAAAAAGGAATACAAAACAGAAACAAGTAACTCATAAATGAAGACATAAAACTGACCAGTAAATGGATGAAAACATGTTGAAGCTCATAAAGAAATCAAAGAAAATGCAAATAGAAACATATGAAATACCACTTTAACGCATCAAAGATTTTATTTTAAATGGTACTTGATGTTGGTGAAGATTTGAGGGAAGAATGAATCCACTCTGCATGCATTGCTCTTTGGGACTCAGGGCTGCTGGGTCCCTCAATGGGCTTTCAGCTACTACATTTCACAGGTTTGCTTTAAGAGAGATGTGGCCAGGCAACTGAGTTTTGGCCAAAGGGATGTGAGTAGAAGTGAAGCCCACCACTCTAGGCCTGCCCATACATGCCAGGCATGGGACCCTCTGCGCCTCCTTCTCTGTTGGTTGATCAGTGGCAGAGGACCCAGAAGAGGACCGCAAGGCCCTACGAAGCCATGATAGAAAAAGTTTGAATAGAGCAAGCCCCCCTCACCACTCTATTACCAATTTGTTCTTCATGAACAAGAAATAAAATTCTTTTGTGTTAAACCACTGAAAGTGGAGGTTTATCTGTTATGTCAGCTGCGAGCACTGCCGTCAGAGGTTTTCAAAAATTGATGGCTTAAAGTGAGGTGCTGCCATAAAAAACACTTAAATATGTGACAGTAGCTTAGTGGTTGGGTGACAGGTGTGTGGGGAAATAGATCGAGCAGGCTGGATGGCTAGAAAGCCCTGTTAAGTCATGGCAAATAAGTGGCAAACCTGTTACCTTGAATGTCTTAGAAGGGAGACCCCCTCAAGGCCTCCTAAGCCCATAGCTCCAGGAAAAGTGGTGGTAGGAGCTAAAGTGATCAACTAAATCTACAGATGCCTTTAATAAGGTAATACAAATGTCATCCAAAAGACCACCAGGATGGCTTAATAGTAGAAAGAGGAGCTTTATCGGCCATATCAGTTCACAAGCTGGGAAGACAGAATCTCTGGTATGAACTGGAGGTGCTCTCTCTTTTAGGAGGGGAGGGGCAGGTTGGTTTTTATGCCTCACAGGGTCTGTATTACACAATACCGTCATACATATTCAGCAGGTTTGGGGGAAAAGCTATATATATTTATGAGCGGAGCCAAGCTGATGCACAATAGGTAAACATAAATGTAATATACATCCCATGTTCACTTTGGGGCAGGGTTTTAGCATTAAAATGAAGTGGAATTTGGCTCCTTTACATCAAGAGTTGAACTGTAGGACACAAAGACTGTGCAGCCTCTATAAGCTGCTGAAACAGGCATGAAGTCTGCAGGTGCTTATCAGAAAAGAGTGTTTGTAAGGCCAGTCCCCTGCCAAGAGTTGTAGTGGCCTGGGTTGTAAAGCTGGGTTAGGAGGGATCTGATAACTCCTGTTGTTAGGGAATGTATTGAGAGTGTGGTTTTTCTTGTAGTCATAGAAATTTAGAAATACGCCATACCAGCCGGGCCCTGAACCCTTGACCTGCAGGTAACTTTTGTCTTCTAAACCATGGCATCCATCTTAGTTGATAAGGTGGTATTCACTGTGGTCTCTCAGATCACACAAGAGAGATGACCTCTGACAACAACTGACTGTTTTTTCTTTTTAGAGGAGATAGAAAAAATGAGAAAGTCCACAAATAAAAGACCTCAAAGGTGGAAAAATTGAGGACTTCAGGACCCCAAATAACAATTGTTAAGACTGGAAAGGTCTAGTCAACCTTCTCAGTTAAACAAAGTGATTTGGCTCGTGTCAAAGGCCTTTTTTTTTTTTTTTTTTTTAAAGTTGCTCATAGACAGTCACCATCAACTTGCAAGAGGGAAGCTGTGGTGAGGATGCACAGGGAAAAGGCAGGCATGAGGGTCCTGCCTCAGGGAGCCCCTCCGTGAGGCTGCCACGTGTGGGACCAGCTGGAAGAAGACCATCAGAAGCTATTAAATATTCAAGGGAACTATTCTGCCTTGGAAACAAAAAGACCATAGAGGCCTTTCATCTGTTGAGATTAAAACAATACTTGTGTCTCCAAATTTGTGTGAGCAGCAAGTAGATTATAAGAGTTAGGGAGTTCCTGGCCGGGCACAGTGGCTCACGCCTGTAATCCCAGGACTTTGGGAGGCTGAGGCAGGCAGATCACAGGTCAGGAGACAGAGACCATCCTGGCCAACATGGTGAAACCCCGTCTCTACTAAAAATATACAAAAATTAGCTGGGTGTGGTTGGTGCGCACCTGTATTTCCAGCTATTCGGGAGGCTGAGGCAGGAGAATCACTTGAATCCGGGAGGCTGAGGTTGCAGTGAGCCGAGATCTCACCACTGCATTCCAGCCTGGGTGACAGAGCAAGACTCCATCTCAAAAAAAAAAAAAAAAAAAAAAGTTGGGGAGTTCCCTGTATTAATCACGTTTGGTTTTTTTTTTGTTTTTGTGGATTTTTTTTGAGACAAAGCCTCACTCTTGTCCCCTAGACTGGAATGCAATGGCACGATCACTGCAACCTCCACCTCCCGGGTTCAAGTAATTCTCCTGCGTCAGCCTCTGAAGTAGCTGGGATTACAGGCACCTGCGACCACACCCAGCTAATTTTTGTATTTTTAGTAGAGACGGGGTTTCGCCATGTTGGCCAGGCTGGTCTTGAACTCCTGACCTCAGGTGATCTACCCACCTTGGCCTCCCAAAGTGCTGGTATTACAGGCATGAGCCACCATGCCTGGCCTTAATAATGTTTTATTATTTTCTGTATTTTGATGCTTTAACAACTTTGGGCTTTGCTGACTCTGGAGGGACCGCCCCTCCCAGGTTAACCAATTCAGAGAGAGAGAGAGAGAGAGAGAGAGAGACTGAGTGTACCTTTCATATGCAAAGCAATCAATCCAGAGCTCATACTCCCAACCACTTCCCCTACAGGGTTCTCACACTCTAGGGCACTATCCTCGTGCCTTGGCCAGATGCCAGACAAGTAAGGCCGGCCCTTATGCACCAGAGTCCACTGAAATCATTCAAACTAGCCAATCCTAAGCCTGCTTACCTTACCTTGCCAGTTTCTTCCTGCGGAAATCAAAATAAAAGCTCTTCCCCACAGTTCCCCACCTCCCTCTGTCTCCTGACTGACCCTGTTGTTTCCATATATCTCCATCCCCCACCCTGCATGGTACCCCCCCGCCGCCTCTCAGGAACTGAATAACACACTGTTTTTTCAATGGTAACCATTTTGTGATATGTTGGCCTTACTATACTTTATTTTTTAAAACATTAATGCACTCTATTTTAAAACAACCCCACGTAACACAAACTCATCATTACCTATTTCAGATGTTGCCATGAAGAAAAATAGACACAGGAATTCCTTCCATTGAACAGAATCTGCTCTAATCAAGGAATTTTTCTTGCTCCCAGGTTAGGAAGACCATCTAGCACAATTTCAAAATCGCTATGAACAAGTAGCTGCCCGGTTTCCCATTCTTCCCTCTTCTGAATGGGAATGTTATTGTTATTTTATGTCTGACCCACAATTGTATATTGGGAAGGGTGGAGGCAGATAACCTGTGTTTTAAATTCGTAGGCTGTTGGATGATGAGAAGCAGCATAGGGGCCTGACAGAGAGGAGTGCTGATTATCCAGAGATCATGAACTTCCGTGATTGGGTGGGGGTCTTTTTTGTCGTTGCCCATGGGGAGGTTAAATTTTTTCCAAGTGGAAAAGGAAAGTGAATAACAGTGATCAGAAGAGTGGACCATGGCCTAGGCTACTAAGTTCTTTCCAAGATCTTACGGGTTCACGGCTTATCTGTATGTCCCAGTCTCTACTGGCAATAGGCATGACCACATGCTGGAGTTCAGGCAGGGGGATGAGGTTGAAAAGACGCATACAACTTTTAGCCCTAACCTGGCATCCTCACTCTCTTCCTCCTAAGTGGCAACTATTAATACATGCAAAGAAGGATTCTGGATGGGCCCTGGAGATGAAGAACTGCAGGTGAAAGAAGCCTGGGTCCCTGAATGACTACCTGGAACAGAGCCCTCTCTACTGCCAATTAAACCTTATGTGAGTGAAAATATAATTTTTTTCAATGTATATACATTTTTTAATCTTTTAAATGTTTTTATTTCAATAGCCTTAGGGGTGCATGTGTTTTTTGGTTACATGGATGAATTATATAGTTGTAAAGTTTGGGATTTTAGTATACCTGTGACCCAAGTAGTGCACATTGTACCCCAACAGGTAGTTTTTCATGCCTCTCTCCTCTCCCACCCTCCCCACTCTGAGTCTCCAATGTCCATTATACCACTCTGTCTGCCTTTGTGTACCCATAGCTTAGCTCCTACTTATAAGTGAGAACATGTGGTATTTGCTTTTCCATTCCTGAGTTACTTTACCTAGAATAATGTCCTCTAATTCCATTCAAGTTGCTGCAAAAGACATTATTTTGTTCTTTTTCATGGCTGCGTAGTATTTTATGGTATATATATATATAGATATATATATATATTCACACACACACACACACACACACACACACATCTTTTTAATCCACTAATCAATTGATATGCACATAGGTTGGTTCCATATCTTTGCAATTATGAATTGTGCTGCAATAAACACATGGGTGCAAGAGTCTTTTTGATATAATAATTTTTTTCCTTGGGGTAAATACCCACTAGTGGGATTGCTAGATAGAATGGTAGATCTACTTTTAGGCGAAAACATTATTTCCCATTAGTGTTGTGACACATGACATTCCTGATGAGGAGAATCTGGAAATACACTAGTTTTATTAGTCTACTCAGGCTGCCAGAACAAAATACCACAGACTTCAACAATAGAGATTTATTTTCTCACAGTTTGGAGGCTGTGAAGTCTGAGATCAGGATGCCAGCATGCTTGGGTTCTAGTGAGGGCACCCTCCTGGCTTGCAGATGGCAACCTTTTTCCTGCATCCTCGCTTATTGAAGAGAGAACTCTGGTGTCTGTTCCTCTTCGTATAAGGGCACAAGCCCTATTGGAGTAGGACCTCACCCTTCTGACCTCACTTAAACTTTACCACTTCCTCACAGGCCCTATCTCTAAATTCAGTCACATTCTAGAAAGGGCTTCAACATAGGAATTTGGGAGAAACACATCCAGTTCATGACACCACAAGACTTACCACTGATACATTATTTGATTCACTGAGCAGTGGTTGAGAACACAAGCTCCAAAGCTCATCCTACCACATATTAGCTGTGTGACCTTGACCAAGTTACTCAATCTACTTTGTGCCTGTTTCCTCACTTATACAATAGGTATTCTAATAGCACATATTTCAAAAAGTTATCATGAAGATTAAGTGAATTGATATTTGTAAAGCTTTTGGAACAGGGCTAGACTTCAAGGTACTATATTAAGCATTAGCTTTTATTTGAATTAGCAGTTCCACTTCTAGTATTATCTTAAAGTAATAATTATAGAGTTATTTACTTACTCAACAAACATTGAGGGAGCGCTGACAGACATTCCGCTAGTCACTAAGTAAACAGTAGTGAAAGAGTGGTGTGACCAAAGATTTGTAAATAAGAATCTCATTGCCATATTGTTTGAGACAAGAAAAACTGGAAACAACTTGGATGTCCCCAAATAAGAAATTAGTTAAATAAATTATGCTGTATCTATACAGCAGAATAAAATGTTGACACTAAAGGGATAAAACAGGAAAAGCTTCTAAATGCATAACTACATGGAGAGAGAGTCACAGTATAAATGTCTGCCTCAGGGCCATTTATTTGCTGTTCTTCCTGCCTAGAAAAGCTGACACATAGTAACTGCTCAATAAATAATTGTTGAATGAATGACCTAACTGAAAAAGATAAGTCGTAAAGTAATATGTACTATATAATTCTATTTCCCAAATACATACAGAGAAGAGAGACTTCAGAGTTTATACCAAAATATTATAATGACTACGATTGGTCAATAAGATTGTGGATGACTTCTACTTTATCTTTTTTGCTTATCTAGATTTTCTACATTGCATGTAACAACCATGTTTATTTTTATTAAAAGGGCAATTTATTTTTAAAAAGGCAGTTTATTTTGAAATGGGAGTTTATGTACAAAGAATTAAATATAGTTCACTAAGTAAAAATATTAATACAGGCCCCAGAATTATGATATAACAATGTGACATTTATCAAATGCTGACCATGTGCCAGCCACTGTTTTAAGTGCTTTGTGTACATTATTTACATAACCACAATCTTATATGGTAGTTGCAACAAATATGCAGTAGAACCTGACAGCAGCCACCTTGGGATAACTTGTTCTCCCCAGAACTATGCCAATTTGATCTTAGTTCATGGTCCAACAATTTTAAAAATTGTGGCAATATGTACATAACATAAAATCTACCATTTCAATGATTTTTAAGTATACAGTTCATTGGCATTAAGTACATTCACTTTGTGGGGCAAACATCACTGCCGTCCATCTCCAAAACTTTTATATCATTCCAAACAGAAACTCTATACTCATTAAACAATAACTCCCCATTCCCTTAAACTTCCTACCCCCCACACAGCCCCTGGAAACCACGATTCCACTTTCTATCTTTATGAATTTGCCTATTCTTGGTACTTCAAATAAGTGGGATCATACAATACTTGTTCTTTTACATCTGGCTTATTCACTTAGCATAACATCTTTCAGGTTCATCCATGTGCCAGAATCTCCCTCCTTTTTAAGGCTGAATGATGTGGCTTAGCTGTGTCCCCACCCAAATCTCATCTTGAATTGTGGTTCCCATAATCCCCACGTGTCATGGGAGGGACCCGGTGGGAGGTAATTGAATCTCATGCTGCTGCTGTTCTCATGATAGTGAGTGAGTTCTCAAAATATCTGATGGTTTTATAAGGGGCTTTTCCCCCTTTTGCTCGGCACTTCTTGCTGCTGCCATGCAAAGAAGGACGTGTTTGCTTCCCCTTCCACCATGATTGTAAGTTTCCTGAGGCCTCCCCAGCCATGCTAAACTGTGAGTCAATTAAACCTCTTTCCTTTATAAATTACCCAGTCTTGGGTATGTCTTTATTAGCAACATGAGAATGGACTGATACACTGAATAGTATTTCTTTGCATGTATAGAACACATTTTGTTTATCCATTCACCTGTCAGTGGACACTTGGGCTGCTTCCACCTTTTGGCTATTGTGAATAATGCTGCTGTGAATATCGGTATACAGATATCTCTTCAAGTTCCTGCTTTTGATTCCTTTGAATACATGCCCAGAAATTGAATTGCAGAATCACATAGAAATGCTGTTGAACTTTTTGAGGAACTGCCATACTGTTTTCCACAGTGGCTGTGCCAAAGCCCCGGAACTCAGAGGAAGCCAGTCTGGTGCCACTTTCCTTAATACCTCTCTTTCTTCCCTATCTCAACACTCCTTGTTTTAACTCTTTAGCACCCTACTGCTTCCCATCACTCTTGGAGAGGGTGGTAGAGGAGAGAGGAGGACACAGTGTGAAGCAGTTGCGGGAGCTCAATGCCAAATTTCAGGTAAGACATTTTTATGATCACTTTCTTCCTGCATAAAGGCGGCAAGACTCTTTGGGCACCTGAATTGTTGAAAATGATGGTCAGGTTGAGATTCCACTATGGAATCTCATTTTTATTTGTGGATCATATTTGTGAAACAATGGAAACAATTGTTGGGGATTCATATGGTTTGGATATTTGTCCCTTCCAAATCACATGTTGAAATGTGACCCACAGTGTTAGAGGTGGGGCCTGGTGGGAGGTTTGTGGGTCATGGGGGTGGATCCCTCATGAATAGCGTGGTGCCCTCTCTGTGGTTATGAGTTCACACAAGATCTGGTTGTTAAAAGAGCCTGGCACCTTCCCCCTCTCTCTCTGTCTCCCTCTCTTGCCACATGACATGCCTATTTCCCCTTTGTCTTCTGCCATGAGTAAAAGCTTCTGAGGCCTCACCAGAAGCAAATGCTGGTGCTTTGCTTGTACAGTCTGCAGAAATGTGGGCCAAATGAACTTCTTTTCTTTATAAATTACCCAGCCTCTGGTATTCGTTTATAGCAATGCAAAACAAATGATGGGGATGATGAAAAAGTTCTGGAGATGGGTAGTGGTCACAGTTGTACAACAGTGTGAATGTACTTAATGCCACTGAACTATGCACTTCAAAATGATGAAAATGCTAGATTTTGTTATGTATATATTATCACAATTAAATATGTATGCATATACAACCATATAGCATCCCCTGGGAAAAATCACAACTTCAGTTTTCTTCTCTATAAAATACCTTTTCTTTCTGATGCTCAGAACGGTAAGTTGATTACTCCAGATATACACATGCTTAGATAAGAATAAAACATTATGCAAAAGTATTTTGGTTTTGGTGAAATACTCTTTTTAGCAAGCAATAGTGTCTCACTGTTGGGATAATATTCCTGACCACAGATTTTATCCATCGGGGGACAACTGGGGTGGTGACAAAACCCAAGGCTCCTTCCATCTGACATCCACTGGCTACGGGAAATCCAGTGTGTTACAAATGTTTTTCTTTCCTTTTAGTAGGAGGATTGCCTCTCTCCATTGCACACGACCAGATGATGCCTTAAAAGAGTAAACTCCTGAGAAAACCCTTCTAAAGCAACTGAATTAGAAAAACAACAACGATGGGCTGGGCGCGGTAGCTCACGCCTATAATCCCAGCACTTTGGGAGGCCGAGGGGGGCGGATCACGAGGTCAGGAGATCGAGACCATCCTGGCTAACACGGTGAAACCCCGTCTCTACTAAAAATACAAAAAATTAGCCAGGTGTGGTGGCACGTGCCTGTAGTCCCAGATACTCGGGAGGCTGAGGCAGGAGAACGGCGTGAACCCGGGAGGCAGAGCTTGCAGTGAGCCGAGATCACACCACTGCACTCCCACCTGGGTGACAGAGCGAGACTCCGTCTCAAAAAAAAAAAAAAGAAAAAGAAAAACAACAACAATGGAACTGGGAACCTAAAGGACAATTCTGTCTGCTTTTTAGCTAATTGGAGGCAGGTTTCCTGTATGATCCCTGTGTCCCTTCGCCTTTCTTCACTTCTCCTGAGAGATGAAGTTACACTGCCTCCCAGGGATTGGCCATCCCAGTCCTGCAAGAGGCCAGGCATCCTTTCCTCACTGCAGGGGACTGATGAGCTCACACAACGTTAGGGGAGGAGCATCCCAATGACCTCAACAGATGAACCTGGGAGATTTCCCACGGACTGCCCAGCACCGGCCCTGAAGGAGCATAGCTTGGTTTGTAATTTCTCTTACAGATGTTTATTTCTCCGATTTACTGAGATTGATTTTTGGAATGTGCGGCTGCCTGAACTGTGCACACTTTCAGAGCTCGATGTAAACCATATACACCCTGCCTAATCCATCACCTCAGATTTACATTAACAAGGAGGCAAGCCAGGCAGTAGCAGCCGCCCTCTATCCTCCGTCCTTTTATGCCATTGTTATGATTTTATGCCTCTGCAATAAGTTACACACCCACCTTTTCCCTCACCCCCTATTCAGCTTTGTTTGCACTCCAGGCACAGAAAAAGAGAAAAAACTGCGGTAGATGGAAGCTAAGGCCCTGCAAACCAGTCATTCCTAGTTATCCGCTTTTAATACATCCCTCCTTTGCTGTCAATTTCCACTGATTCTCCATTTTCGTAGATGACAATGTCCTAATGACAGAACCTGGACTTGAGGAGCATATTAGTCTGTTTTCACCCTGCTGGTAAAGACATACCTGAGACTGGGCAGGTTACAAAAGAAAGAGGTTTATTGTACTTACAGGTCCACGTGTCTGGGGAGGCCTCAAAATCATGGTGGAAGGTGGCATGGTGGCTGCAAGAGAGAATGAAAGCCAAGTGAAACGGGTTTCCCCTTATCAAACCATCAGATCTTGTGAGAGTTATTCACTACCATGAGAACAGTATGGAGAACTGCCCCCATGATTCAATTGTCTCCTGCTGGGTCCCTCCCACAACACGTGGGAATTATGGGAGTACAGTTTAAGATGAGATTTGGATGGGGACACAGAGCCAAACCATATCAAGAGACTACTTTAATTTGCATTTTCAGCTGGATCCCACCCCCCCTCCTATTTGACTTGACCATGAGGTTCTACAGCAGAGGGCCCTGTCTTTCTCATCACTGTGCACGTAGCACATAACACATGCCAGTTGAACAGTTGTTGGGAAAATAAATGAAGCGCCCATCATCTCAGATTTAGTATCTAGTGAATCTGAAGAGGGCCTGGAAGGAGATGTCCCTGCAATGGTGAGCAGAGACTTAAGAAATCAGAGTGCTTGAACTCCCTTTCCAGTTGTATTAAATGGAGTGCCCTGTGATCCTTCATGCTGGCCAGTGAGAAGAGAAGGTCTGGCTTTTGCCTGTGGATGTTTCCTTCCCAGAAGCTCATAAGCTCTTGCCAATCTTATTAAACTCAGCCGTAAGCTTCTCAGTAATGATGGCTCCCAATTTTGCAGGTGGTCTTGCTACAGGCAGGCAGGCAGCAGACGAGGCTGTGCACTGAGATCCCATTTCATTTGCTCCAGCTCCTTTCTGAGCTGGAGAAAATGAACACGTGTGTCATCGCTATTTATGTTTTATAAATGCGAATATCACAGTATATCATACAAGATGTAAAACAAATGCACTTACCTGTGATAATGCATGCATTTAATTTAGATGCTAAATACAAATGAATAATGTAATAAACAAGGTGCTGAATGATTAAAATGAACCCTTAATTTCTCACAATTGTTCAAGAAGGAAATTACCGGAAAATATTAATGCTTTTCATAATGATCACTTCACTGCAGGTAAGCAGAAAGCCACTATTTCCTCCTAGGTTATCATTTGTCCCAATTCAATACAATCAATTCAAAGACCCTAGTGTCACTTAAAAACCATTCTTTCTTTAACTTTCATTTTAGGTTCAGGGGTACACATGCGGGTTTGTTATACAGGCAAATTGCATGTCATGGAGACTTTGTATACAGATTATATCGCCACTAGTTAATAAGCATAGTAACTGATAGGTAGTTTTTCGATCTTCACCCTCCTCCCCAACTCCACCCTCAAGTAGGCCCCAGCGTCTGTTTCTCCCTTCTTTGTGTTCATATGTACCCAATGTCTAGCTCCCACTGATAAGTGAGAACATGTGTTATTTGGTTTTCTGTTCCTGAGTTACTTCACTTAGGATAATGGCCTCTAGCTCCTCCATGTTGCAAAGAACATAATCTCTTTCTTTTTTATGGCTGCGTAGTATTCCATAGTGTATATGTACCACATTTTCTTTATCCAGTCTATCATTGATGGGCATTTAGGTTGATTCCATGTCTTTGATATCATGAATAGTGCTGCAATGAACATATGCATGCATGTGTCTTTAGGGTAGAATAATTTATGTTCCTTTAGGTATATACCCAATAATGAGATTACTGACTT
This sequence comes from Homo sapiens, assembly GCF_000001405.40. Lineage (NCBI taxonomy): Eukaryota > Metazoa > Chordata > Mammalia > Primates > Hominidae > Homo > Homo sapiens. The sequence goes on along the minus strand of NC_000001.11, from coordinate 232,158,562 downwards.
GAATGGTAATTCTGCTTTGAGTTCTTTGAGAAATGGCCAGACTGTTTTCCACAATGGCTAAACTCATTTACATTCCCACCAGCAGTGTATAAGCATTCCGTTTTCTCTGCAACCTCACCAGCATCTGTTCTTTTTTGACTTTTTGATAATAGCCATTCTGACTAGTGTGAGACGGTATCTCACTGTGGTTTTGATTTGTATATCTCTAATGATTAGTGAAGTTGAGCACTTTTATATGCCTGTTGGCAACATATATGTCATCTTTTGAAAAGTGTTCATATCCTTTGCCCATTTTTTAATTGGGGTTTTTTGTTTTTTGTTTGTTAATTTGTTTAAATTCATTATAGATTCTGGATATTAGGCCTTTGTCAGATGCATAGTTTGTGAATATTTTCTCCTGTTCTGTAGGTTGTCTGTTTACTCTGTTGATAGTTTTCATGGCTGTGCAGAAGCTCTTTAGTTTAATTAAGTTCCCTTTGTCAATTTTTGTTTTTGTTGCTGTTGCTTTTGTCATGAAATATTTGCCAGGTCATATGTTCCAAATGGTATTTCCTAGGTTATTTTCCAAGGTTCTTAGAGTTTTAGGTAAAAAAAACTATTTTTCTACATAAATTTTTAGTATACAGACAATATTTTTACATTTTCATGTGGATTCATGGAGTTTTAGAATTAGAAATAACCAGAATGGCCATATAGTTCAATAGCTATCACAGGTGAGGAAACAGAAGACAAGGCAGTTAACAGTTTTCATAGCAGCATTTGTATATATTAAGGAAAAAATGTTTAGAGAACTGATTTTCTTTCCTGGTGCATATGTCACAGAAAATTTTGGCAATCATAAATGAAAATATTTTCTCTGGTTTAATCAACCTTTAGCCAAAAGTTATCTTTAATATGGTACCACACAGGACTTCTTTCTTACTTGCCTTTCCCAGACCAATTTCTTCACACAAAGTTACCAGATTGGATCTCTCTTTGACACCCTCAAACAGTCAAGGACTAAGGCTGGGTGCGGTGGTTTACACCTATAATCCCAAAGCTTGAGGAGGCCAAGGCAGGAGGACTACTTGAGCCCAGGAGTTGGCAGCTGCAGTAAGCTATGATCACACCACTGCAATCCAACTATCAAAAATAAAAATAAAGGACTAAGTCTGGGACTTAGTCAAGGACCAGGACTTCATGGAAAGTATTCCTCAGGGAAAGGAGATCAGCAGTGATAAGAAACTGTAGCGTGCTTTCCAACTTCTTCACGTCTCGTGCCACATAGACTGCTCTATGCGACACACCAGTGTATGCTGACAAGGCTGCTACTGATGGGGAGCAGCTGATTCTGCGACTTCAGCTGCTCCAGGGCCCACCTGGCAGTCCCAAGAGCTCAGCACATCTGTGCCTGTTCCTGAAACACCATTTGGATAGCTTGGGCCTATAGGAGACACAGATGGAGCCCCAGCAAGTGAGGCCCAGTCTGAGGGATCACCCCAAGACAAAGTCACTGAGGCATGTGTGGTATGAATTTATTTCCTGTTTCCTGTGTGTCTACATTTAGCTATCAGAAATTGAATTAAGGCTTAAGCGTAATCTTTACTTAACCAGAGCTGAGCAGTTAAACTCATTGCGAGGTCGTGTCCAGAACACCATTCTGAGGCTGACTAGATTTAAATATTTCATTATTTATAGCGACCTTGGGTATGTAGGAATTACAGCCAGGTGAAGGCACAAAAATTAACCCTGTAGGAGAAAAGTTGGACAAGCAGCCACCACAGAAAGGTTGATTTCATTCCCCTCTTGATTCCTTTGGTCAGATATATCTCTAAACACTTTCTCAGTTGAGTCTAGACAAAAGAGACCAAAGGTATTGCAGATTTCATTTGACGTATCCTAAAAGAAGTAGAATATTGAAAATACCCAGCATGATGCATTGTTCCTCATAGGCACTCTATAAATAAAAATTTCCTGCCTTTCTTTTTGTCTGCCTCTTTACATAGATTTTTTTTTTAATACTTTCAGTTCTGGGATACATGTGCAGAACGTGCAGGTTTGTTACATAGGTATACACATGCCATGGTGGTTTGCCACACCCATTAACCCATCATCTACATTAGGTATGTCTCCTAATGCTATCCCTCCCCTAGTCCTCCCATTCCCCAGCAGGCCCCGGTGTGTGATGTTCCCCTCCCTGTGTCCATGTGTTCTCATTGTTCAACTCCCACCTGTGAGTGAGAGCATGTGGTGTTTGATTTTCTGTTCCTGTGTTAGTTTGCTGAGAATGATGGTTTCCAGCTTCATCCATGTCCCTGCAAAGGACATGAACTTATCCTTTTTTACAGCTGCATAGTATTCCATGGTGTATATGTGCCACATTTTCTCTATCCAGTCTATCGTTGATGGGCATTTGGGTTGATTCCAAGTCTTTGCTATTGTGAATAGTGCTGCAATAAATACACGTGTGCATGTGTCTTTATAGTAGAATGATTTATAATCCTTTGGGTATATACCCCATAATGGGATTGCTGGGTCAAATGATATATCTGGTTCTAAACCCTTAAGGAATTGCTACACTGTCTTCCACAATGGTTGAACTAATTTACACTCCCACCAACAGTGTAAAAATGTTCCTATTTCTCCACGTCCTCTCCAGCATCTGTTGCTTCCTGACTTTTTAATGATTGTCTTTCCAACTGGCATGAGATGGTATCTCATTGTGGTTTTGATTTGCATTTCTCTAATGACCAGTGATGATACGCTTTTTTTCATATGTTTGTTGACCACATAGATGGCTTCTTTGGGGAAGTGTCTGTTCATATCCTTCACCCTCTTTTTTATGGGTTTTTTTTTTCTTGTAAATGTGCTTAATTTCCTTATAGATTCTGGATATTAGCCCTTTGTCAGATGGATAGATTGCAAAAATTTTCTCCCATTCTGTAGGTTGCCTGTTCACTCTGATGATAGTTTCTTTTGCTGTGCAGAAGCTCTTTAGTTTAGTTAGATCCCATTTGTCAATTTTGGCTTTTGTTGCCATTGCTTGTGATGTTTTAGTTATGAAGTCTTTGCCCATGCCTATGTCCTGAATGGTAAAGCCTAGGTTTTCTTCTAGGGTTTTTATGGTTTTAGGTCTTAGGTTTAAGTCTTTAATCCATCTTGAATTAATTTTTGTATAAGGTGTAAGGAAGGGGTCCAATTTCAGTTTTCTGCATAAGGCTAGCCAGTTTTCCCAACACCATTTATTAAATAGGGAATTCTTTCCCCAGGCTGATCTTTGACAAACCTGATAGATTTTTTTGTTTGTTTGTTTGTTTTTCAAAAAAATGTATCCTTGTCTTAGGGTCCTCAATGTATCAGGAAGTGTATAGCAGCAAAATAGGTCAGATCAGTCAAGTAGAAAAAATAGTACATAAAATATTTTAAAACTTGTTGAGAGTTTGCTACCATGATAGTCACTATTCAAGGTACTGTGCATGCTGCTGCAAATATGGTCATGCAATACAGAATCACATGTTAAATCAAAGACAGACCACATATGTGATGGTGGTCCGATAAGATTATAATGGAGTTGAAAAATTCCTGTCACCTAGTGGCACTGTAAATTTTGTAATCTCACAGTGTAATTACTTTACTGTTTTCATAGATTTACTGTAGCCTAAGTGTTTATGAAGTCTATAGTCATGTACAGTAATGTCCTAGGCCTTGCTGAACCTGATTCTGCAGGGTGATGAGCTACAAAATTCTTCCCCCACAGAGGAGCCCTCAATAATCCAGTAGACTAGATGAATGTAAGTGAGTCTCTTTTCCCAGAGATTCTAGTGCTTTCCCAGTTGGTTTATGAATAAAGCAGCCATAGAGGCAGAGACAGAGGTTATACATGGGCTCTAATACCGAACTGAATTTCTCCAACTCTTCTCTAGGTACTACCCAGCAGAAATAAAATTGAGCCCCAAATGCACCACCATAGCACATAAGGACTATCAGCGAACCTGGAGGCAGGTTGTTATTTTTATTTCTCATGGAAAAGCCACATTTTCTAGATTTAAGTTCGTGTTATCTTTCTGCCATGCTTCTGCAAGGAACGCAGTCCCTGCAGTTATTATTCACCATGATACCATCTTAACCAACATTGCTTTTATTCAAGAAAGTGGTTTTACAGTGAGCAAATTAAGGCAATGGGCTGATATGAAGTGTGTTTTAAAATATAGGATTTATTATTATTCAGGTGTGGTGAGGCCAACAGCTCAAGAGATGTTAGCCATTGAAAGCATAGCTTGTTACAATTCCTAAGGCGTGGGAGCCATGCCATGGCATTGGGGTGGGGGGCACACCAGGAAGCACCAGATTCAGCCAGGAGGCAGAGGGGAAAATGTGCAAGAGCCCTTATTTCTACACAGAGGGATAGCGAAGGCAGGGCAAGCAGGCTTAGGCTTGGCTAGTGTGAATAATTTCAGTGGGCTCTAAGGCATAGGGGCTATCCCTAGTTGTCTGGTACTTGGCTTTGGGGTAATTAGGGAAGGTGCATAGTAGACCAGAGTGTGAGAGCCAGCTAAAGGAGGCATGGGGGTGTACACTTTGGACTGGTTAATCTGCACATGAAAGGCATGCTCCCCTCTATCTCTGGGGCTAGTCAGGATGGTCCTTGACTATCTAGGAATTGGTTAATCCTGGGAGGGGCAGTCCCTCCACAGCCAGCAAGGCCTCAGATGCCAATAAATCAGAATACAGAGGATAAAAGACATGATTAATACAGATGGGATTCTCTGCTCCCAGCATGCATCCCTTTGCTCAGAAAGCCTTGGAGAAAACATAAAATGATTGTATTGAAAACTCAGTAAGACTTCTTTCACAAGGAAACACCTTGCAAATGTGGAGTGCTGTCCTCCAGGATGTACTGTATGCTCTTTACTGCTGTTTCTTTTACAACCACTATACATTGTTCAAGAACAAAGGGGTGAAAGTGGAAGTGTCTTCTTGCACTATTACAACTAATGATCCATTTGCAATGTTCGCTTCTTATTCCCATGAATTTAGACACTCTTGGTATCTTTTAATAAACATTGCTTTCTGCTAAAACTAGTTAGAATAGATATCTTTCTACAACTAAGAGCCTGATTCCATTTAGACTGACCCTCACAGTAACCATATGAAGAAGGCTGTATTGTCACTGCTGTCATTTTACTGATGGAGAAATGGACGCACGGAATAGTCCAAGGCCCCCAAGCTAGTCAGCTGAAAGGCAGGACTTAAATTTAGGTTATTTAATTCCAAAGCCCTATTATCATCCTCTGTGCTATGTAATATCCAAGGATCTAGCAGACCAGGAGTAGAGGATGAGGGGGAAGAAAAGTAAGTGTAGACGCAGGTAAAAAAGATCCTCAGAGAATTTTAAATGATTTATCTGTGTAGCCAAAACTGTAAGTGACGGACATTTGGTTCAAACACAAATTTATGGATTCAATTTCTGTATTCTTTTCACTACACCATATGTAAATTACTAGCTGTGTTTATATGAAATTAAGAGCTTATGAAGATGAGGAATTTTAGAACTGTTGGATGAACCGGCTATCTTTGACTATGCTGGAAGGCTTAATGAATGAAAATGACAAGCTCAAGGTTTTAAATTCTTAGTTTAAGACATGGTTTAAGTAAAAGAATCTAAGATATTCACTCTCCATGTGTGTGCCAGCTTGTAATTAACTTATTGAAAATATGATTCAACCACATTTAGGAATATTAAATATGATTAAATTTAGATATGTTTCTTATAGGGATTACATGAGATTAAGTTATCCTATGGGGACTATTATAAAGATTTGTCTAAATATTTAGAGTACTTATACTTAACATATATGGATCGACTCATACCACTGTAAGTAAGTATATATATGTAAATGTGAGGTTTGTTTCAACCAAAACTTCAGAAGATGAAGAGTATAATTTTCCATCTCAGCTCCTTGTATCACATTTAAGCCTATATCCCATCTGTTCTAATATGTTCAATGATTTCTCAAAGTTTTTGGTCCACAGTTGGGACTTTTAAAATGTATTCTAGCATTATGATGTTTCACTTTTGAAACCCAACATTGTGTCATTTATTAAGGTGAACCTTAAGATGGTGGGAAGGTGGATGAGCTCCATCCGTCATCTTATATTAGAAACATCATAACCAGCCGTCAAGAAGGTGTTTTTCCCTGGAATATAAATATTTTATTATTAAAATGTCATGGCTCCTGAGAATATGAATAAATATGTTATTTAAAAGCATACCCAATTATTTATCTACATCAGTTTAGACTCATGGATTCTCATATTATTGTGGGTTATATTAATAATTTATTATTATTATTTATTTTTCTCAAATTTTCACAGATTTGGCCATGAGGAGTCCTTTCAAATTGGGTCTACATACCTTTGATATGTTCCCATCATTTTTTTGAGATCTTCCTTACTTTCTGGCACCTCAAAATGTTCAGGTTTGTCTGGTACTTTCCTTGCCCCAGACCTGGAATCAGAACGCAATAGAAATTTTAGGTAATAGATGATGTGCTTATTGATATTGGGGTGTGATTGCTTCCAGGCCCTCTCAGTCAATGAAACCAGGAGTACATCTGTGATTCCATACTGATATAAATATATAATTGTATAAATAAATAAATGGGGGAAAAAGAAAGCTTTTTGGTAGATTTTTAACTACAAAATGTAAAAGATATGATGGAAATAGAAAATTACCATTTGGCAAACACCATACAGATCATTATTTCAGTAGAGTCTAAAATTAGCGGACAAAAGTATTAAGCATAATGAGAAACAGAATAGTCACATAGTCTCAATGTATCTCCTCACAAGACACTTATTAATTACAAAGAGAAAAATAATCTATTTACAGTGAAGGAAGCTGGCAGACACACAACTTAACCAAGTGATCAAAGTCCCCATCACCAGAAATGGGATGGGCAAATGGGCTGTGTGCTCCTTGTGTGATGCACTGACAAGTACATAGCAGGACTCTGGGATGTGTCTAGCAGAAGTTCATACATCGTCTGAATCTAATCACAAGGAAGCATCAGGCAAACCCAAACTGAGAAATAGTATCCACAAGAACTAGCCAGTATTCTTGAAAAATGTCACGATCATGACAGACAAAGGAAGATGGAGAGACTATTCCAGATTAACGGGGACCAGGGAAACATGACAACTAAATGCCACGTGTGATTGTGAATCAGATCCCAGATTAGGAAAAGGGCTTCATAGGACAATGGGTGAAATCTGAGGAAGGTCTGCAGATTAGATAATAGGATTGAGTCAGTCTTAACTTCCTGATTTTTGAAAGTTTTCCTGTCATTTGGGAAACCTGGGTGAAGGCTATACCAAAAATTCATTTAGTATTTTGACAACCATTTTCTAAATCAAAAATCATTTTAAATGAAGAGGTAAAATATTAGAAACATTTTCTAAAAGCATACCCAGAAACAGTTATGTGAAAGGAACCAAATGCCTAGCCATGAAATATTGCTGGCTGCCTGTTAGGGTAGCTGCTCTCAGAAAGACCAGGAGAGCGCCCGGTCTTTCTGAACTAAGGCGGGTTATGACTAACCCTTCTCTTACCTGAGGCTACACTTATTAGCAGCAAAAGGGCAATGACCACAGCAGCCTCTGGAGGCTGGCCCTTCTAGAAGACCAGGTAGGGGAAGGTTCTTATACATCCCGAGTGTACCCTAAAGGATAATTGCATTAGAAAATGGAGTACTTTTTGGCCAGGTGCAGTGGTGGCTCACACCAGTAATCCCAGCACTTTGGGAGGCCAAGGCGGGTGGATCCCCTGAGGTCAGGAGGTCAAGACCAGCCTCGCCAACATGGCAAAACCCCATCTCTACTAAAAATACAAAACTTAGCTGGGTGTGGTGGCAGATGCCTGTAATCCCAGCTATTAGGGAGGCTGAGGCAGGAGAATCGCTTGAACCTGAGAGGCAGAGGTTGCAGTGAGCTGAGATGGTGCCATTGCACTACAGCCTGGGTGACGGAGAAAGACTCTGTCTCAAAAAAAAAAAAAAAGAAAAGAAAGAAGGAAAGAAAACAGAGTACTTTTTAATTTAAAATATATATTTAAAAGATGTGTGCTAAAAACATTTTTGCTACCATCTTCAGCTACCAAAAAAACCACTTGTGACATTATATATTTCAAGGTTATATTGAAATGCACAATTAATGCAGCTATTTTGATGAGCTATCAGTTGTTTGTTTTTCTTTTTTGCAACTTGGATGCTATGGTCTGAATACTTGGTAATATCTGAACTAAGGAATATTTGGATTTCAGGCACTGGTTAAATTTACATTATGAACAATAAGCGCTCTTCTCAGCATGAGAAAATGTTTTCTGAATTCAGGCACTTGTAATAACACGCAAAATTAGTGAAACAGCAATATGTATATTAAATTCTTGAGTGGAAATGACTTTAATGACTCATACTTTACTCATGACATTGAGCACGGAACTTGACTCATAAAAGGTTCCCTAACAGATTTTTAAATGATTTAATATTTGTTTATCCTCAAAGTTTATTTGTTTTAGAATATTTGCCTATGCATTGTCTTTTTTTGCACGGCATGGAGGAATATCTTCTTTGGTTTGCGTGTCCTCTTTGGAATAAATAACTAACTCATCTCCAGTACTAGCTTATTTTTAAATCTAAGAGTTCATTATCTTCACTTTCGATAGTCTTTCATTGTTGCAATCTCCATAAAGGGGCCCATGGCAAAGCTCCTATTGCTCTGGCCTCTTCTTGAACCCTCGTGGGTGGGACTAGGGTTCCAGACATTCCCTCCTTCTCCAGTATGTCTAAACATACTCAGAATATCATTTTTTATCTTATAAAAAAGAAGCCCTCTGCTATGCTGAGTATACTTAACGAGGTCTGCAGGGCAAATGTTAATCTATAGGATATACACAGGATGTTTAGAATACGTTTGTATATTATAAACCATATAGCCAATATACCATGTGTATTCACTCATGCACATATACACTCTGCATGCAATTCTGTGTGTTTCTAGGCATATAGCTAAGAATGAAGTGGTTGAAGCTTGCATGGAGGAGGTGGAGACCTTGCTAAAATCATGATGTGTTAGCTAATAAATATAAGTAAAATCTCTGACCACCCACAAATGCTTCAGTTAGAAGAAATGTGCATAATACATTTAAGTGACTGATACATTTTAAATGTTGGAGATTGGCACTGTCCAGGGTAGTGGAAAGAATGTTCGACTTAAATTTAAAATATACAAATCCTAATCCTAGCTCGACCACCTGTTACAGAGTCATCTAACTTTTCTAAGTCTCAGGGGTTTTTTATTTATAAAATGAAGTAAATATGCCTATCTTCCAAATACGAGCAGATTAAACAGAAAATGAATGTGGCCACTTTTTGTAAATATTAAATTGCTTCATTCAGGTATTCCTCAAATATGTATTGAGTGCCTCTGCATTAAATGCTGGGGACACAGCCATAAATAGGTCAGATATTGTCCTGCTCTGATGGACTCTCCCTTCTGATGGAAGACAGACATTCAACAATTCATTACACAATGTATAGTTTAATTGGCTCTGAAGCCTTTATCAAAGGGACCTATCCTGGCTCAGTCTGGGGAGTCAAAGAAAGCTTTCTTGTGTTGGTGTATGCTGAGCTGAGTAAGAATTACAGATGGCAGCGGGAGGAGAGAAGAAAACATACCAAGCAAAGGAAGCAGCATGTCTAGGGGCTCAGTATCTTGCCCACTGTGGTGCTAACAACAGTAATGCATTTATGTCTAATGCAATGGGAAGTCATTGAGTGTTAGTAGCTTTTTAGTAGCTTTCATTTTTTTAAAGCAGTTCTAGGTTCACAACAAATGACAGCAGAAAGTACAGAGAGTTTTCATATACCCCCTAATGTCCTCCATTAGCCTTCTTGACCATTGACATCCTGCACCAGAGTGGAACATTTGTTACACAGTCAATGAACCAGCATTGACACATCATCGTCACCCAATACCCATAGTTTCCATTAGGGCTCACTCTTGGTGTCGTATGTTCTATGCGTTTTGTACATTCTATGCAGAGGACATATATCTATCATTGTAGTATCATAAAGAGTTGTTTTACCACCCTAACAGTGATTTTGATAAAGGGAGAAACATGTTCAAAATTGCCTTTCAGCAGGATCTCCAGTGGCAGCATGGTAAATGAACTGAAGGTGTCCAAGAGTGAATGTAGGAAGTTGATCTAGACTAGAGAAACTTTAGAAATTTGGGTTAAAATCCTTGAAGGTCCATGGAGAGATGAGCTCAAGACAAATGAGGGGAGGAGACCAGAGCAGAGCCCATCATGGGACAGCAGGAAGTAGCCACAGGGAGAAGGTAACTGGGAGTTCCTACACAGAGGTCACTCTCACTCTAACCAGAAATTCAATAAGCCCCCTGTCCCTGAGAGTTCAAACAAAGCTCATTGTTCACATGGCTTCTTTATGAGAATAGCCTTGTGTCCACTCACTGAAATGTCCATGACTTCGTCATGCCTATAAGGACTTAACATGTTTAATATTATCAGCTTCCCATGAGCATGTCCTCGTGTTTATTTTCTGAGACACATGATAAGACAGAGATCGGAAAGTGCCTCAGCTTTTCTTAGCTTGACTTTTCCACCTCATTCCCCAGGTCAAAAAAAACTGTCCTTAAGAGTGAGGTTTTTCTTCTTTGCAGTTTAGCTTCCTGAGAAAGCAAGGAGGTGTTGCAAGGTCCTACACAAAAGAAGGCAGTCACATTTAGCCAAGGAGAAAGAGAGGGAATACAATTCCAAGTTCGGAAACATTTTCATGTTGAATTTGAGATTTTGTAAGAAAAATTCAAAGTTAGGCAGTTGATGTGTGGCAAAAACTGCAAAACTTTATAGCTAATATGCAAAAGTTGGCTTTTGGAGGGAGTCATTTGCTTGACAAGTACTACTGAGTACCTACAAATGTAAACTAGACAGACCCTTTCAATTTACCTTTTATCAGCTTTCCTAAACTCGAACAAATGTCAAAGGGCCCTTCTTTCTTCCTTCTTTCCCTCCTTCCTTTCTTCCCTTCTTCCTTCACTTCCTCCTTCTTTACTTTCTTCTTTCTTCATCCCTTCATTCTTTTCCTTCTTCCCTCTTTTCTTTCTTCCTTCCTTTCTTCCCTCCCTTCCTTCCTTCTTTCCTCTCGCCCTTCTTCCCTTCTTTTCTTCCTTTTTTCTCTTTCCATCTTTCTCTCTTTCCTTAAGTTTATTCAAAAGTATGGTGTTTTAATGTTTTCTCCTACTTGAAAACATTCAACTGCTATGTTCTCAACCAAACTATTCCAAAAATTACCTAAAAAAGATCAAGTAGAGAGGTCAAGAGGTGAGGTATAGAGTCTTGAGGGAATTCTTCATGTGAATGAGTTTTATTCATTTCCCTGACTTTATCGCTTCATTCTCAGTTGCCCCATTGGCCACTAAAGACCTTTAGCCCTTCCTTTCACTTCTTCAATTGGAGAGATTTGGAAGGGAGGTGGGGACATTTTTAAATAGAGAAGACATAAAAGGAGGAGAAAATATTTGAAAACGCTTGCTTTAAAAAATGTATAGGACACTGACTACAAATAGATTCTGGGGCTCAAATGCTTAGATTCAAAATCCTGCCTCCTCCAACGGTCAGCTGTGTGATTTGAGGCAGATTGTTCAATTTCTCTGTGCCTCTGTTTATTCATCAGTAAAAACAAGATGCTTTGACAGGTTACTTGTCTGGTTAGCAGGACAGTTCTGGGCACATGGTAAATAGAACCTTCCATCACCACTGCTGGAGAAGTGGGGCTCACCACTTTAGTGAACTGATCAAAGTAGCAAAGGGTAAAATCAGAGCAAGGAGATACGTCTTCTCCCTCCAAATGCAGTGCTCTCCCCCCACCATTCCCAGCTTCTGCCTAAGTGGAATCCCCCCAAGAGTGAAGTTCGTATTCAGAATTCTGAATATCTCCCTAGAGTACTTAGCCACAGATGCATATTTCAATTTCTCTTTGGGTCACCTTTTCCTTATTGTATTTTACATGTTTGCATTCAAAATTGAAATGTGTTTTCTACCTAAGTTCCCGTCAGTTAAAAATATCATGCAGTACATCCCACTGTGGAGAAGAAATGTATCTAGTTCATATAGTCAGAGAAATATGTGGTTAAAGTCTTTGAATGGCTGTGTAAGCAGAGTGTCTACTCATTAGATGAGCATATACATCCTTTTGTAACTCCTTTTTATTAATAACTCATTCATTAAGCACTGGTTCCAGCAATCTAGAAGAATTACTTTTTAGTTTGCATCTTAGAGAAAATATGAGAGGGAAAGAAGAAACCATGGTAATGTGCCAATGACTGCAAACATAGTGGGACACTGGACCACCCTGATGCAGTCACCCAAGGTTCAGGTTCTGGGGGAAGCATAACAAGACACTCCACCAGCCTCCAAAGAAACAATTCATACAATCAACCTAACCTCACATTTATCTTGTCTTGACGGTTATTGAGTCATTAATCTTCCCAGTGTCAAGGCATTGTCATCACTGAACCCAACTAAATGAGTATCCATGCAATAAATAGAGTAGAGTACACATGGGTGAGAAAAACCTTGGCAGCAATAAGGACAGCATCACCTAATGAATTACCAGGAAATGTTGAGTAAAACCAGTGGGCAGAAGAGGAGAAGCAGGAAGCGGTGGTGCCAGGATCTCATGACTGCTCCCCACCCCATCATCTTTCTTGAACCAAAGCTACAACATGGCAAGGAGAATCTGTGCTAGATTAACCAGAGGCAGAGCCAGCAATGTTTACAGCAAATCAGGGGTGAACACACATGCGCAGGTATGCACACACACCCACTGAGTCAATATTCTTGGGATAAAATTTGATGCAGGATATTAAAAAAACATTAAAGTCATCAAAAAGTCAGAATTTTGATCAATTTATTACACTATATTTTAATTACAATTGGGAGGAGAGGGTGTTCTGCCAACTTCTTTTCTTTTTTTTTTTCTTTTTTTTTGAGTCGGAGTCTCGCTCTGTTGCCCAGGCTGGAGTGCAGTGGCGTGATTTCAGCTTACTGCAACCTCCGCCTCCAGGGTTCAAGTGATTCTCCTGCCTCAGCTTCCTGAGTAGATGGGATTACAGGTGCGCCCACCACGCCCAGCTAATTTTTGTATTTTTAGTAGAGACAGGGTTTCACCATGTTGGTCAGGCTGGTCTTGAACTCCTGACCTCAGGTGATCTGCCTGCCTCAGCCTCCCAAAGTGCTGGGATTACAGGCGTGAGGCACCGCGCCCAGCCTTCCCAACTTATTTTCTATGTGTGAGACCTAGAGGCTTCTTCTGGCCCTAAAGAGAATGAAAAGAACACGGAATCAACAGAATGGCAGAGCAAATTGTTGGTGAATACTTGGGAGGGTATTATGACCCTAAAACGATAGTTATCAAGGCCCTGAGTGTGCTACGTCCTAATATGGCATCACATCTAACGGAAGGATCCCCGTCAGATCACATTCTGGGTAATATTTAATATTATGGACTGGATGCTCTAAAGACTTGACATCAAGGCCAGGTTGTCCCATCCACGCCTTCCAGGCCCCAAAAAGCTGCTCTCTGGCCTACAGGTGTTCAGCCTGTCAGCTGTACTTCCTTATCCTGCCTCCACCCAGGGGCTGCGTGTACTTCAGGGCACATGAGTCTGAAGCAGTCGACTCCCAACTTTTCTGAATGTGAAGCCCTATTAGTTAAAAACTTTTGAGCATGTGTTCCTTATGTATTGTTACAAATTAATATATTACATTATACACATTTGCTCAAAAGCAGAAAATTTAACAGAATGAGACATTACTTATTTTCTGTGTAGTTCCTATACACAGAAAATAAGTTGGCAGACCATCCTCTCCTCTCATCTATAATTAAAATACAGTGTAATAAATTGGAAAAATTTCTCACTTTTTTGATGATTTTGATATTATTTTTATAATATCCTGCAAAGATGAACCACTGTAGCTTTCCTGCCTTCTGGGTTATATTCCCTGCCTGCAGGCAGAGACTGTGGAAGCCATGGCTTTTGTGAGTGCCACTGGGCTGGACCTGGGCTCTGCTGGGGCTCCTATTGTGCTGGGTGGTCTGAAGTCTGGCCCCTGAATTCTAGGATAGGAAGAACAGCTGGGGGAGTTTAGGAATGAGGGGTGGGCCCAAAGGGGTGCCGAATGACTCAAGGCAGATGCATTTAACCAGGTCCGGTATTATCATAGATTTATTTGTTTTGGGAGGAGAAATACAAAATTTTTGGAAAAATATATCACATAACCAATGGAAATATTTGCAAACTGCTCTCTACGTCACATGAGTTGCTTCTGAAAAGTACTTTCGTTGTTACTGTTAACTTGTCACCTCCACATTGTACATGAATGTGTGTGTTCCTGTGTATATCTTTTCCTTCGTTTTCAAAAACATCCGTGTTCTAGTGACAAGAATGTCCTTATTAAATATTTTCCAAATTTGGCACACTTGTCTTTTTGTAAATGAAAAATTTCTAATTCATCCTTAAACTTTATAACTGTACTTTATTTGCCCTGAGATAACTTAGGAGCCTCTAAGAGGCACAAATTATTTGTATGATCATTCCTTCACCTCATTACAAAATGTGACAATCATCCTATATTCTTAGACAGATGATATCTGCAGGGCTACTGACAAAGACTCTCTTCTTGACCAAATTCTAGTCAGGCTCCACTGAGCCCCCTTCTCCACTAGGCCTCATCCTTGGCCTATAAAGGCTTGAACAAACACAAACACAGTTTCTAGCAGCTCAAGGCCACATCCTTAGCATGCCCCTAATCTCCTTAAAGTGCCTGCCTGAGAAATGCAGGGCTGCCCAAGGAATTTACTGTTTGTTTCAGCCAAAACCTGAAGATAAGTACCCTGTCTCCCAGCCTCCAGAAGGGCAGCGCTTTGAGAAGGAGCACTTAGAAAATCCAGATAGTTTCCACATGGACCAAGCTTCCTCCCTCCCGCCTTTGATGATTTTTCACTTCCCTGACTCTCCTGAGTCCCCACTCACACCTCTCCTCATTCCCTTATTCTTCCTTTAAAATGCCTAGTCACTGCTGCACAAATCAAAGTGCTGATTGAAGTCTCTTCTTACCACTTTAACTAGTGCCTGGCTTTGTTTATTTTTGACACTGTTTAAGCCAGAAATAGGTTAACTGCCCCACGTCACAACACAGGGGGCATAAAACAAACATGGGAGGTTGGCACCATCAATCCTATTGCCATGGGATGGGTCTGGATGGGTTCATTTCTTCACGGAATTCACAGGGAAAGACAATTGCCCAACACAGTCTGAGTCAAGACAGCAGTATCAGTCTGCACATTACCTGTCAGTACAACTTATTTTCCTGCTTGTTTTCATTAGATCAAAAAATACATGTAGATTCACCTTCTAGCATTTTCATGTACTTCCAGTGGGCCATACTGCATACACCCCACATTCGGAACCAGGGATCTGAAGAGCAAAGTTATGTAAGGAAAGCGCAATTGGAATTCATGCCCCACAGTCCACACCCCGTAGGAGACGGATTCCACATGGGGTGATTCAGACTTTACCCTGGTTAGCCCTGGCCCAAAAATGCCAGGCTCTTGCATGTGCGGGGCATCATCTGTACAGATGGTATTCCCATCTGACAAGCAGGGCTTTCTTGGATCCACGGGCACTGTGCCCAGTAGATGAAAAATGTGAGCAGCACAGATTCAAGCCACTCTTGTCTTCTTAAAATAAGCAATTCATTTTTTAGGGAGCTATTTTTAATAGCATTAGTTACTTGGCAGCTGTTTCCAAAATGGCTTCCACAATTCTAAGAAGCTGTGATTCATCCTTTGGCCTGGCAGTGTCCTGGGTACATGGAAATTCCAGGGGGAGTTATAAATGCCACTTTTCATGCTTGGAGCTCACAAAGTCCTCTGTGAAGCCAAAAGTGAGATTCGGCAAATTCCATGACAATGAGAAACAAGAACCAGTATTCAGTTGATTGTTGGTCAAACACTCCTGTGTTACCCAGTGTGGGAATCACACACATTAGCAACTGGAAGCCACTGAGGTCTCTCAGTCTGTTCCCTGTAGTCTGGATGGGATCCTTTCTTCATGGTTGTTTTCTGGATTATACTTATTTCCACATTGGCTTGCATTACTTTTTTCTGTTTTTTATTTTTACTCTATATTATTTTACAAAATAGTGAAGTATGCATAAAATTTTTTGGTTTTTAAATGTTCTAATTATTTTTATTTGCTTTTCACATTTAGTAAAAATAAAAAATCTCAAATAATACGAAAGTATGGAAAATGAAAAGTAAAAGACCCCAACTCACAACCCCTTCTTCATTTGGCAGAATTAATCACTATTTTGGTTTGTCTTACTTCACTATTTATATATGAATTTATTATACCATATTTAAGATAGATTAGGTAACTATCATTACCATTTTGTTAGATATGCTGCCAGCATTTTCCAAGTAAATGCAAGCATACACATATATTTTTGTATTTACTATTTTTATTTAGATTTTTCTGTTTTCACTGGGATGATGCTATGTATACTGATCATCATTTCCTGTTTTGCATGTTTTATTTTGCACTTCTTTTTACATTGGCACAATTGCCTTTATAATTGTTGCACGGCACTTCTTTTATGGAATCATCATAATTTATTTAATTGCTCCATATGAATGGGAATTCAGCTTGCTCCAGGTTTTTACTATGACAGTGTGGTGCACCCAACATCCTCACACTTAACAATCTTAGTAAATTGGTCAATTTCTAGACATGAGATCTTTAATATGTTAATTATAAATTGACTAAATAGAATGCAGTTGCATTTGGAGAAAATTTCACCTTAACAGTGCCACCAATCATCATTGCTGTCAGAATTGAGAATTCTTTTAATGTATTTTTAAGTTTTTTAAGTTGCAGCAAAATGCACATAACACAGAATTAGCCTTCTTAAACATTTTAAAGTGTATAGTTCAGTGGCTTTAGTATTATACATTCTTATGGTTTTGCAAGCACCAGCATCATCCATCCACAGAATTCTTTTTATCTTCCCAAACTGAAACTCTGTTCCTATTTTTTTGTTTTGTTTTTCTTGTTTTGTTGTTTTGTTTTGGTTTTGGTTTTTTTTCATGACAGAGTTTCTCTCTTGTTGCCCATCCTGGAGTGCAATGGCGCGATCTCGGGTCACTAAAACCTCTGCCTCCCGGGTTCAGGTGATTCTCCTGCCTCAGCTTCGAGTAGCTGGGATTACAGGCATGCACCACCATGCCCAGCTAATTTTTGCATTTTTAGTAGAGACAGGGTTTCACCATGTTGGTCAGGCTGGTCTCGAACTCCTGACCTCAGGTGATCCACCCACCCCAGCCCTCCCAATGTTCCTGTTAACACTAACTCCCTCTTCCCCCTCTCCACAGCCCCTGGTGACCACTATTCTACTTTCTGTCTCTATGGATTTGATTCTTTAGGAGCCTCATAGGAGTGGGACCATATAGTGTCTGTCTCTTCATGATTGGCTAATTTTACTTAGCATGATGTCCTCAGGGTTCATCCATGGTGTAGCATGTATTAGAATTTCCTTCCTTTTCAAGGCTGAATAATATTCCATTGTATAGATATACCACATTTTATTTATCCATTCATCCATAGAAAAACACTTGTTTAATATATTTTAATATTCACTTAGTTGCAAATTTTCTGATCCTTCAATTGTCTAATTTAAAATCAGGAAATTTGAGGAAAACACACATATATGAGTCCATCATAACTCTAAGGTCCCACTGCATGACTTTATAGGTGAAGAGGCACTGATGGTCTGCCCTCCTCCTCTGCAAGTACCTCTGGAAATCTTTGTACAGGCGATGCCATCACCACCCTTCTCAGCAAAGCCAGAGGGCTCAGCCTGCAGCCCAGCCCCTCGTGGCAGGTGCAGCCCTGCTGCTCATCGGAGGGATGCATCGTAGGCATTGTTAACACACAAGAGGAGGTCACTGAAGAATGTGATTGTTCTGCCATTGTGTTTTTGTACGGTTCTTTTTTCTCATGAAACTTCATGGAGAAATTTAAGAAATGTAATCAAAGTATCTGCACTTAAGTTTAGAGCCCATTGCATGTCTTTGTGAGAGTCTGTGGGTTTCTGCTACCACATGACTTAGACGGGTTAGATTTGGGGAGCTCACTTTGTCAAAATTTCCCTGGCATTTTGTCTGAAGAACCTAAGTTAATTTTCTTTTTAATGAAACTTTCCTCCAAAATACTTATAAAACACAGAATCTTGATTTATTCTCAATTACTGCCCCAAAACTACCAATTTCATCTCATGACAAGACTAGTAAAAGGCAAAAAGTGAGATGGAAAACAAATTACAAATGTATTCTGGCTGCTGGGTGATGAAAACCAATACATGTAATTTTAAAATAAAGCAAGGACAATTATTTTTCAATAATTTCAATAGAATTAATAGAATAGGAAAGGAGTCCTGTTTACATTGTTTTTGTTGTTCTTGAAGCTCTGGCTTTCCTACAGACATGGCCTCAATAATCTTTCAACAGCACCCTGACGTAGACAAGGTGCACAGGGTGGGAGAACAACCGGGCTTTGGGTAGCACCTGGTCTAGAGTCGATAATACGGGACTTATTAAAAAATAATTTTTAGGCAAATAGTAAGGGTAAAGGTTCTCAGTGGAAATTTTCCTATGAGAAACAACCCTCAAACCATTTATTTTCTAGGCTTAAAGAGCCAGGCCAGCAAGCTTTAATATGCAAATGCAGGCGACTAAAAGCTAGGTCCACCCAACATGGCCAAAATGGCAATTCCCTCAGTCTTCTCCTTGTCACCACCTGTGCCAAGTGTCATGGCCGCCTCCAAATAACACCACCTTGTGTTCGGAACATCATGACAACCCGCATTTGCATATTAAAGGAATAAGGTGGGAAGCCCAGGTTTTTCTCTGGCTATGTAAATAACACACCTGGTCAAACCAATCCCCTGGGCGCTATGCAAGCCAAACACCACCTCCTCTAGCATCCCAATATTAGCGACCACTTTTCTGCAGCACAGGGGGTTTCTCTTTGCTCAAATCCCCACTCCCTCTGTCTCTGTACAGGGGAGCTGTTTTCTTCTTTCTTGCCTACTAAATTCTCTGCTCCTTAAAATCACTCCATGTGTGTCCGTGTCATTTTATCTTAATCGGCGCAATACCAAAAACCCTAGTGTTCCTCCAGTCATCGAAGCCGTATCATTGGCAGGCACTAGATAATTGGTTGCTGGAGAGAAGAGTGAAACACACAACAAGTCATATTACAAACCATAAAAGTTACTTATCCCACCGTTCTCTACGAATCTTTATATTTAAAGCCACAGGCTTTCATACATATGTATTTTGCCAAAACAGAACACTTGGGGTAGTTACAATATTTGATTAAAACCAGTTTATAAAAAGTGTTTATAGAAATGAGCCTCCTGTCAGGAGATCCAGACCATCCTGGCTAACACGGTGAAACCCTGTCTCTACTAAAAATACAAAAAAAAAAAAAAAAAAAAAAATTAGCTGGGCGTGGTGGCGGGCGCCTGTAGTCCCAGCTACTCGGGAGGCTGAGGCAGGACAATGGCGTGAACCTGGGAGGCAGAGCTTGCAGTGAGCCGAGATCACGCCACTGCACTCCAGCCTGGGCGACAAAGTGGGACTCCGTCTCAAAAAAAAAAAAAAAAAAAAAAAACAAAGAACAAAAAACAAAAAAAGAAATGAACCTCCTAGGGCGTTAACAACATTACTTGTTGTAGTTTACATACAACTTTTTCCAGAAACAGAGCTAGTGTCAACAGTGATACACAATTGCATCACATTTGCTCACAGAAGAGTTCCTGTTTCATTTTGTTTTGTTTCTAGTTGCCATTTTAGTCCCTTATTATAACGTTTTCCCAGAAAAGATGATAGCCCTTCTTTCAGGGAAATAAACAAAGTGTAATATGTTTTAAAAGGTACAGGCCAAAGGAAATTAAGAACTTCCTGGATGAAATTAGGAAGGATTTATTTAAAAACATGGGTAGAAAATAAATCCAGAAATTCTGAGGAAAATGGTTTTTAAGGTGCACAGGTGTCCTGGGGTTGGCTAGCGTGAGGTAGGCAGAAAGAAGACAAAATTACTAAATGTGAATCTGCCCGATGCCACAAATCAAACACGGATCAGCCAATCCCCGCCCCTGCTCAGTGCGTCTGCACACAGGTGCACATACACAGTCCCTATGTGACTTTGGATATTGGCCACGGCTTTCCAAAGTAGCCCCAGAAACATTATCCCCAAAACTCAGAATTGAAGCAGGAGTTGGGGGAAGGGACAGGGGCAGGATGCAGAGAAGTGTGCCTGGGATTCTGTAAACCTGCTCCTAAGCCAAGTGCCCAAAACAGAAGAGCTTTGCGGAACACCAATTTAGTAGAATTTTCCTCCCTCCAGTCCCTCTGTGGCAATTCAGAGATGGCCCAGCTGGCTGATCTTTGGTGGTTATGGAATGGTCACAAAAACAATGACAGAAAAGAGAAATAGGAAAGGCCAGCTTCTGTATCTATTTCATTTTGCCTACATTTTAAGGCAACTAAATTTTTTTTGAGTAGCTGAACATCTAAAGGCAATTACGAAAAGTTGACTCATAGTCTTATTTTTTATATACATCGTAGATGGATCAGGCATTAAGGCAAAAATAAGAAATGAAATAATGACATTAAACAAGCAGGTATTCTTTTGTCTCTATAGTGGCAATCTTTGGGGAACCATGAGCCACAAAGAAAGCAGGTGCTGTACCACTGAGAACGCTGGGCAGAAGGGCTGTGAGCAGACGCAGTGTCCACTGGGAGGTCATTGGAGGGGAGGTGCTTTCCTTCAATCCTGGGTCCTTCACTGCAGGAGTTTTAACTTTGGACTCTCTCCAGTTCTTCCAGTGTGAAGACTTCAGCTACATCTCAGCAAGAAGGAAAAGTGTTTGTTCACATACAACCCACAGTGTGCTGCACTTGCTTCTGTTTGGATGTAAGTTTTGCTCCCTCTTGTCTTCCTTAGACCCTGCTTAAGTTTGCACTCCCCGGGAGATGGAGAAACAACAGAATGCAAGGAAAGGTCTTCTCCCTTCCAGGCCAGCATGAGGAAAAACAAACACGGTGGCCCAAGTGATCAAATTATAATGATTAGACACTGCTCTCAATAGGGAGGGCTGAAAATAGCAGGTTTGGGAGGTAAGAGCTCATTCAAGAGAGAGCATAGCATGGCATCCCCAGTGACAGTGACTATGGTGCAGTTCCTTGGAGGGAAACAAGCTAATCTAGGCTGCTGGCACAGTAGGTCAATTTCTGCCTGGTGCCTCCTCTTTTCCCCTAGATAATGGAAAATTTGACTTTCATTCAATGCACCAGGGATACAGCGCAGCACTCAGGGCTTCTGCACTTCTTGCCCCCTTATAGGAGTTAGGTTTAGCCAAGCAGGAGGGAAGTAAGGCTTGGCTGTGCTGGGCCTTTCAGAACTGGACTCCTCAAGATAGCAGCACTCACCGGGGCAGGAGCTACAAGCCCTCTATGTTGACTGACCCTCCTCCAGGACAAGGTGAATTTGGAATTCTGGAATTTGGAAAATTGGCCCGGTGTAGGTGCTCAGGAACCCAGTAAGGACAACAGAGACCTTCTAAATGGTGATAAAGTTTTCTTAACTTTTCCTTTCAGGATTTTATTTGCATCTCAGAATATTGTATTAGACATGTCTTTCATTTCCTGTATTTTGATGCTTTGACTTCTGGGGGCTTGCTGACCCTGGAGGGACTGTCCCTCCCTCGCCTCCATCCCAGGGCTAGGTAATTCCTAGAGACAGCAACCAACTTTCCCATATGCAAACCAACCAATCCAGAGCCCGTATCCACACCACCTCCTCTAGCTGGCTCTCACACTCAGGGCCACTGTCCTCCATCCTAATTGCCCCAAGACCAGATACAAACAATGAGGGGCAGCCATTATGGCCCAGAACTTGCTAAAATTACTCAAACCCATTGTAAACTCATAGCCCTGCCTCGCCTGCTCCTTCCTGCATAAACCACAATAAAAGCTCTTGCCCACAACTCTCCCCTCTCCCTCTGCCTCCTGCCAACCCCAGTGCTTTCCCGTGTGCCCCTACCATGGCACGGCATACTTCCTCACCCCTCATCTCAATTCCCCACCCCAGCCCCAGGTCCCGTGTCCAGGAACTGTGAGTAATAAACATCTTTTCCATGGTAAGCATGGCCTTATTCTGCATATCAAATTTTCTACTAACACCCTATATTTTCTTAATAGCCCAGGTAGACAGATTTATCAATACCCATTGCAGATGTTGTCATGAAGAAATAATGGACACATGCATTCCTTCTAATGAACAGAATCTGGTCTAATCAAGGAACCTTCTCTATTTCCAGAGTAAGGACTCTTTAGAATGCCTGCCTAGTGGGATTTCAAAGTTGCTATGAAAAGTGGCTGCTTGGTTACTAACTTTTCAATGGCAGTCATCAGTCATTGCCTGATCTGTTGGCCTTAATATACTATAGTCTCAAACAAATTTCAGCCAAAGAGTGTCGCTGAAGACCACTGCAGGGATTCTACAAGAGCTGGATCTGATCTCAGTGTGTCTTAGTTTAAAATCTAGGTCTCCAGATGTCCAACACTGAGTGAAGAAAAACAAGAAATAAACAGGGCCCAGCACTCAGAAGGGGCCCAGGGTGAACAGGTCATGCACATCAGGACCCAGTGCTGTGGGAGGTACTGTTGTTCTGCTGTAGGACCCATGTTTTATTCATGGTGTCCAACCTGCTCTAAACAGCCCTGGGCTCCCCACAAAAAAATTACAAAAAACATTTTTAAAATTATTATTTTCAAATTTCCTTCTATAGGTTTGTTTTTTGGTTAATTATGGTTGCTTTGGGTGTCTTTAAGTAAACTTGGGTGCTCCCATGGTGTTCGCCATGGCTTTCTTACTGTGATCTTCAGATTTGCAAAACCAGCCCTGTCGAGGATTTTCTTTTCTTCTTTTTTAATTCAGTTCTCCTTTCCTTTCTCTTTTTTCTTTCTTTTTTAAATAATAATAAATTTTTATTAGATAGCATAATTAGCAAAAGTATTGTGTAGCAATATGCAAGTAATTAAATGTGTTCACTCTTGTAGAAACTGGGACTTCTTGGTTAATATTTGCCTGCAGATCCATTTATCTTCCACAACACTGGAGATGTAATGTTTCTTTCTTGGGCTGGTATTCGAGATCTTGAGGTGTGCTTTTTCTGTCTGTAGCTTCCCAGCTACCTGAGCTTTAGAGCAGCTGGGGGAATTGTCCTCAGCACTTAGTGTCTCCAGTTCCCATCCCTAGGTACTGCAATCTCTTTTTCAGTTAATTAATTTATTTTTAATTGTCAAATAAAAATTGTATGTATTTATCATAGAATCAATGGATGATTGGATAAGGAAAATGTGACATATATACACAGCGGAATATTATTCAATCTTAAAAAAACCAAAATCCTCCTTTCTTTCCAACATTTTTTTTAATTTTGAAAACTAAACATTTTAAAAAGTATAAAAATCCTAAAATAAATACATGTGTGTCCACTTCCCAGATTAGAAATTATTGTTTGTCATGTTTACACTTTTTTAAATAAAAAAAATGAAACATTTCCAAGTAAAACTGTTACTGGTGGAGGATGGCCAGGTTCTTACCATTTTGAACAAAAAATTGAACAAAACGCACAAACAAAGCAAGGAAGAAATGAAGCAACAAGAGCAGAGATTTACTGAAAACGAAAGCACACTCCACAGGGTGGGAGAAGCCCAAGCAAGTGGCTCAAGGGCCTGGTTAGTTACAGAATTTTCTGGGGTTGAAATACCCTCTAGAGGTTTCCCACTGGTTATTTGGTGTATGCCATATGTAAATGAAGAGGATGAAGTGAGGTTACAGAGTTCTTTACACCTATGCAAATGAAGAGGATGTTTCTTGTCATAGCTGAAGTAGAGTTACAAAGTTATTTACTTGGTCTTAGAAAGTCAGGGTCTTTCCCATTGATTTAGTTCTAGGAAGGCCTGGGGTTCCCTGTCCCCAGACCCTATTCTCCTGCCTCAAAACTGCATATGCCTTTGTCTGCTATGCCCAGGTCTGTCACCCTCTTTTTTTCTGAAAACTATTTACTCTTACCAACTTGATATATGTTCTAGTTCACTTTTTGTAACTCTGCATTACATATACATAAATCCATAAGCAAGATAAGTATTATTGTGCTTTAAATTTTATATAGATGGTTTCATGCTATAAACAGTATTCTGTACTTTGCTTAATTTTTTAGATGTATCTGTCTACATCACTGTATGAATGTACCACATTTATTCAGCCAGTCCTCTTCTGATTCTGCAATGAATACTCCTGCATGTGCCTCTCAGGCAGACATACTAGCGTTTTCTTGAGTACATTCACAGAACTAGAGTTTTCTGGGCCTGAAATTATGCATGTTTTAAATTTAAGTAAACACTGTCAACTTGCCCTCCAAATGGGTTATGCCCATTGTTTTTTTCTCCAAGAAATTGCTGCAAGGTACATATCTATTTGAAGAAGACTGTTAGGTAGGCCTCCAACATTTTTAGAAAAGAGAGGGAAGCAAATATTTTTGGTAAATGTCCAAAGTTTTATTAAAATACTGACAGAAAACATTAACCAGTTATTACGACTACCTTTTATTATGTAAACTTACAAGATATAGTGCCCTGTAAGGTTTGAGGTGTAGGATATCTGTGTCATTGCCTCCAACTCTTACCCATAACCACTTCGCCGGTTTAGCTTTCCATCTTTTCTAATGGAAAATCCTTACTTTTCCATTCTCTGTCAAATCTAGCAGTCACAGGACCTGATTCTTGTAACTATACACAACTGTTTAGTAGAGATTCCCTTCTGGAAGCTTCTGTAAAAACCCCATTGTATAGCTGTGACCACATTGGCCACTCTGGGCTTTGAGACATCATACCTTTATGGCTCTCACTGTGTGGCTTGTTTAACTCTTCATCCATGCCCTTAAATCGCCCTTTGAGGCTTTCTGCCTTATTCCTACCTATCGTCATGCTTAAGGCAACCATGAAGAAAACAAAGGTAGTATTTCTTTTAAAAGTATAGCAATCCTAAAATGCTCTTTTTCCAATCAGAAAAGAAGTACCTAATGGGATTTTTACCTATTGATCACTTAGTCATCACTCACTGAGCCAAAAATATAGGGACATTTAAAATATATATATATATATGTGAGTTACTTTTGGGTTCCAACATTTTAGAAATTGTAACTGCTCTCTAATGTAATTCTCCTAACTCTTAAATTGGATATCTTTCCATTGTAGTGGAAGATTTTAAAATTCATTCAAAGTGAACAAATATATATAATTTTAAAATAGTTTTTAATATTAAAAAATCTTAACAGATTATAATTTCTTCAAATTTTAAGTTTATTTTACACTTTGTATTCATTAAATAACTGACAAGACTCTCAGAAGAAAGCCCCAGAAAAAAATGAGTACTTTTGGAATCCTTCAAGTGCCTACAACTTATTAGATGGTTCTGAATGAAAAAAATAAACTGTTCCTTTTTTCTTCTCTCATACCACAACAATCAATACAGAGGACAAGTGAACAATCAATGACTGAGTGGATACCAGCTGGGTGTCCTCCAATTCAATTCTGATGCAATCTACCTAAAAACAGCATCAGATCCCACAGGTTGAAGATTTATTCAACAAGCCTGTCTCTCTTCCAGTGCAATTGCAAACCCAAGGTTGTTTTGCCTGTGCTTCTGACAGACCAGCTATAAATCCCAGGATTTCTTATTTGGATTCAATTAATTTGCTAGTGCAGCTTACAGAACTCAGGGAAACGCTTGCTTATGTTGACCAGTTCGTTATTATAAAGGGTGTTACAAAGGGTACAGATGAAGAGATGCACAGGGCAAGAGATGCATGGGGGAAGGAGCACAGAGCTTCCATGCCCTTCCTGGGTGCACCACCCTCCAGAAACCTTGTGTTCAACTATATGAGAGCCCTCTGAACCCTGTCCTTTCAGGTTTTTATGGAGGCTTCATTTCATAGGTATGATTGATTAAAACATTGGCTATTGGTGATCAATTTAATGTTCAGCCCCTCTCCCCTCTCTGGAGGTTGGGAGTAAAGCTGAAAATCTCAATCCTATAATCATGCCTTGGCTTTTTTTTTGTGAACAGACCCCATCCTGAAGCTGCCCAGGGGCTGTCAGCCATCAGTCAACT
Source organism: Homo sapiens (assembly GCF_000001405.40). Taxonomy (NCBI): domain Eukaryota; kingdom Metazoa; phylum Chordata; class Mammalia; order Primates; family Hominidae; genus Homo; species Homo sapiens. The sequence goes on along the minus strand of NC_000001.11, from coordinate 232,132,198 downwards.
CATTAGCATACAAAAAGACACTTATCACTTTGGAGATTCCAAGAATTTTAGGAGTTGTATGCCAGGAGATGGGGACAAAGACCAAATATATATATTTCACAGTATGATACATGGGAAATCTGTTAAGCATTCTAAAAGATGAATTTTCTTTCTATGTAAAAAAAAATCACATTTTTAAAAAGTAGCTTATGGTGTCTAGAAAATTCTTAATTATCCAGGGAGCACAGATATAAATCTGTGTATAGAAAATCACAGACGTAGTGCTCTGCTGAAACAGTGCCATCTGTGGTTTGCCTGGCCTGCCCTCAGGTCCCTGGAGAGGAATTGGCTATAAACTGCACATTGCAGACACTGGGTGCCATAGCTGGTCTGGTATGATTTCCACAATGTCTTCTCTCTGCTTCTTCCTATTTGGACTTCTTTGTGTCTGATATGCTGTGATCATTATGTATTCCACAGGACCTTTGCTTGGTGTTCTGGTGATACACATAGCTATATGTATACAGTCTAGCAGCCTCAAAAGTGTGGTGAAAAATGCTGTGGGTATGCTACACCATGGCCCAGAAAGGGCATCCCCAAAGCAATAGTATTGGTTCTTCTAACTTCTGGCCCCCAAAAGAAATAGGTATAATATTTGGAGTGAATCAGACTCAATGACATTTTTGGTATATATGTCTTCATCAATTAGATCCAACCAGAGAGCTTATATTAAAAAGCAGGATATTTATAACATGGTCCAGAAGCCTTTGATCTATAGGTCTCTATCTTTATATATATGTATGTTTGTTTTTTAATACCTTCACAATAAAGTGACCAACTGTCCTGGTTTGCCTGGGACTGAAGAGTTTCCTAGTGATGCAGGATTGTTTTGCTTCTTAGCTCAGCTAGGTGTGGGTTCTTGTCTCATGGCCAGGAAGAATTAGGCATGCAGACATCAAAGAGTGAGTGGAGTAGAATTTACCAAGCAAATGGAAAGCTCTCAGCAAAAAAAGGGGATGCAGGCAGGCAAGTGCCCCCCTCACGGTTTAATACCTGGGCTTAAGGCACGAATTCCTGGCGGCTCCACCCCATCCTTCTAGTGAACATGCAGGCCCTTAGACTAAACTTCTCTATATTGATTTAATTCCCTTACTGTGCATGTGTTCAGGAATTCAACTTTCCACTGCAGGCATGTTTAGGCAAGCACCCTGTGCAAGTTTCCTTATCTGAACAAAACATCTGATGTAAGCACTTGTGGGGCGGGTAAGAGGTTCTCTGGGGCCCCTTCCCTACTGTTTGCCTAAAGCAAGCTGGCTAACTCCTTTCACTAGGACATGGAATTTCCAATGTTTTTCTTATTGTTGTTTTTAAGAGAAAAGATTTCCCTATGTTGCCCAGACTGGCCTTAAACTCTTGGGCTCAAACTATCTTCCTGCCTCAGTTTCCCAAGTAACTGGGACTACAGTAGCACATCACCCCCCCCAGCTAGAATTTTATGTTTTAAAACTGTGAAAGTTCCAGGCAAACCAGGATGACTTGGTCACTCTATTTACGTGTTATAAATATGATTATGAAGTGTGACTACCCCCAAGAGAAGAAAAAGTTCAACCAGGAATAGATGGAGGGGAACAGCTGATTATGGAAGCTCAGGGGAACATTCAGCCGATGAGTGAGGTCAGCAGTCTGGATTTAAGGCCCGAAGCAAGGCCAGAAAGTGTGGGGCATGATCAGTCAAGATGGACAGAGAATGAGAGTCAAGGTCAGCCAAGAGCTGTGTGTGCCCAAGGTGTAGGCAAAAGAGTCCCAGCATTTTGAAGAGTCTCAAATAGCATTTTGAAGGTCAAACACTTCCACCTCAAGGCTTCTTTTTTGGTTTTTCTCTTTTTCTTCTCTCACCTATGGACATGCTCTCAAACGGCTTGGATAATTAAGCCAGGTGGGTTGACCTGGCACAGGAAGGTCACCTGGGCAATTATACTCCAGAGCTAGTCTCATGAAGGACATTATGCTGATTCACTCTTGGAAAATAAGAATTTAGGTCATTCCCTACCAGATTCTGTCTAATTTTTCAAGGTCCCAGAAATCTTGTAGTTGGGATAGTCATGGGCTGTAGCAACTGGTAATATCTTTCCTTTGCCTAACACTTTCAACTTCTCAAAGTACTTCACATCTATTTCTACCTACTATTTGCTCTATAGCTCCTAGAAGTGCATAGAGAATTATTACTAGCTCCCTTTTGTAGATGAAGACAAAAAAGGCAGAGATAATGATAAGCATTATTAAAATCTCAGGGCTATAAACAAAAGAGCCGGCCTGGAATCTGTGTTTTCTAATTCCCAGTTCTCTCCTAAATTAGGGCTATATACTTCGTAAAATTACAAATAATATTTTTTTATCAGAAAAAAACTAGAGATGATCTAATGCAATGATTTTAAATGTTTAACATAGCAGAATCATATTGCAAATATATGCAAAATCCATCAATTCTCCCTTTATCCCCATGAACTGCTTCCTAATGCCTAATCTCCCTGGAACCCAGTTTGGAAGTCACTGATGAAGTCTATCCCATTCATTTTCTATACAAGGAAACAGCCAGAAAGACCTCACTGGGATGTGCCTCAGGTTACTCAGCTGGTTAAAGGAAGAACTAGAATCCTGCCCTAGGGTTCTCAATTTTTAGTTTATTATAAACTATCCATCATCGCTTGAGTTTTCTATAGTCTTTTACACCCAAGCAACTATCATAATCTGCATTTTGTTGTTTAAATTCTTTTATTCTCCTGGCTTCATTTGTGATTGCTTATTTTTTATAGCAATAAGTTGAAAATATAAATCAGAAAATTACTTCACAGTTCAGTATTTAGTTTGTTAGTGGAATTCTTTTCAAGCACTTAAAAAATCGTATGGGTAAGTTACCAGGGACATCATAAAATATTATAGTTTGCCTATCAGTATCAGCATGTGGAGCACAGAAAAATCTTATCAAGAGAAGTATCACAGAGTTACATCAGCAAAATGACAGAGGAGAGTAAACAGCTCCAAGCTCATGTCCCTCCAAAGAAACATAGAAAAACAAGCAGAATTGCCAGAACCAACTTACAGGACTCTCTAAAACAGTCAAAGCTTTACAGAACCAAGTGGAAGCTGAATCCAAACAACAGCAAAAAAAGGCAAGTTAAGAATGGTAGAAAAGTTTTGTGGCATTCTTTTATTTGCACTTGCCCCAACCCCTCCCCAACTGAGAAGAGGTCTTTAGGATGGCAGCCTGCATCCCCAGGGTGGGATGCTGATCCCTGGTTCCAGAGAGAACACAGCAAGACTTATGTGTAAATCATTCTGTTTGTCTGCTCTAACTTGTTGAGGGCTACCTGAAGAACTGATGCAAGGTGCTCATCTCTGTTTTGCCTAATGTGGAGCTTACTCAAGACAAAAAAGTGGCAGGCATTGCTCAAAATCAATGCAAGATAAATGAGAAACTCACAGCTGCCTTGAGCAAAATATTACAGTCAAGGTTTACAATAGAACACCTAAAGCCTGGGAGAAAAAATGACGATAGTTTCTTTTGGAAATTTGGGCATTCAAAAGCACCTGTGTATACTGGAAAATCTAGAAAGACACATGGATGCCCAAGGAAGAATGCATTCTCAGAAAACATCTGGGAAGACCCTAAACTTTCACTTTTTATCTCTAGACTCAGTGCAAGCAGGAAAGAAAGATTGAGGCAGGGTTGTAAAGAGCCTGACTAAGTGCTGAAGTGTTGAAGAAGGAGTACATTAACATAGAGTCATCCACAGAGATGGAAGAGGTGGGGTTTGGAGTTTTTTGTTTTATTTTATATTTTGACTTGTTTAATATTGTTAGCTCTTGATGTTCAAGGAAATCTGTATCAGAACAACAACTGAACACAAGGTAAAGGAATAGAAGTTTCAGGGACACACAATGAAGAATACACAGTCTTTGGAAAAACAGCCTAAAAGAGTCACTAAAGAAACAGATGTGTGTAGCCTTCAACAATCAAAAAGAGCACATCCTGGGGAAGGGGAATAATCTGTTTTCCAGAGTTAAACTATTGTAATATTCAAATGTCCGTGTTTCAACAAAAAAATTGTAAGGCATAAAAAGAAACAAAGAACTCTGGTTCATTTTCAAGAAAAAAACAAATTCACAGAAACAATCCCTGAAGAAGTGAAGTCATTAGCATTACTCTACAACAATCTTAAATCAACTGTTTTAATTATTTTCAAATAGCTATAGAAAACCACATAAGAACTAAAAAAAACTAGAAAAATATATGAGCAAAATGATGATATCAATAAAGATACAGAAATTAGAAAAAGGACCTATATAGAAATTTTAAAGCTGTAAAGTAAAATAATTGAAATAAAAAATGCAGTAGAGTTTTTCAACAGCAGATTAGAGCAAGCCAAAAAGAGACTAAGTGAACTTAAAGAGAGAACAATTAAAAGTATCCAGTCTAGGAGCAGAAAGAAAAAAAGAATGAAGAAAAGTAACCAGAACATAAGAACCTATGGGCCTCCATCAAGTGGACCAGCTATGCATTATGGAGTCCCAGAAGGAGAACAGAAAGAGAGATGGGGTAGAAAGAATATTTGAAAAAATAATGGCCAAAATCTTTGCTAAATTTGATTAATGACAAGAATTTACAGATTCAAGAAGCTCAACAAACTCCCATACAATAAACTCAAAGAGAATCCCACTGAAACATGTTACAATCAAACTGTCAAACCCATATACAGAATTTTGAATCAGCAAGAAAGAAATGACTCGTCATGCAGAAGACATCCTCAACAAGGATAATAGCTGATGACTCATCAGAAGGCATGGAGGCCACAAGGCAGTGGGATGACATACTTAAAGTGCTGACAAAAAAACTGTCAACTAAGGACTTTAAAACTATCTTCCAAAGGTGAAAATATTAGGATATATGCAGATTTTTTAAAGCTGAGAAAATTCGTTACCTGTAAACCTGCCCTTCAAGGAATGTTAAGGGCAGTCCTTCAGGATGAAACAGAAGGACACCAGGCAATAACCTGAAGCTATAAGAAGAAATAAATATCTACAATAAAGTTTACTAAATAGGTAAATATTAAAACCAGTGTTATTGCATTTTTTGTTTGTAACTACACTTTTTATTTCCTACATGATTTAAAGATAATTGCATGAAAATCATTGCAAATCTATGTTATCTGTATATATATATATCATACTACATAAAGATAATATGTATTATGAAAGGAAAAGAAATCTTGGGGCCCCCAAATCACTAAACTAAAGGGAAAAGTCAAGTGGGGAACTGCTTAGGGCAAATCTGCCTCCCGTTCTATTCAGTCACCCCTCTGCTCACTGAGGTAAATGCATATCTGATTATCTCATTTGGAGAGGCTAATCAGAAACTCAAAAGACTGTAACCATTTTTCTCTTATCTACCTATGACCTGGAAGCCCCCTCCCTGCTTCGAGTTGTCCTGCCATTGCCTCGGGTTTTCCCACCTTTCTGGACTGAACCAATCTACATCTTACACACATTTATTGAAGTCTCATGTCTCCCTAGAATGTATAAAACCAAGCTGTGCCCCTAATACCTTGGGCACATGTCATCAGGACCGCCTGAGGTTGTGTCATGGGCATACATCCTCAATCTTGGCAAAATAAACTTTCTAAATTAACTAAGACCTCTCTCAGATTTTCAGGGTTCACAGTATCTTTATATTTTATGTTAGGCACACAATATATGAAGATATAATTTGTAACAATAACAATAACATAAAAGGGGATAGAGCTGTATAGAAGAAGAGTTTTTGTTTGCTATTGAAGTTAAATAGGTGTCCGTTCTAACCATATCACTACAAACTTAAGATGGTAAATATAATCCCCCTGGCAATCCCTGAGACTGTGTTTAAAAAGTATACACAGAACTCAGCAAGCAGGGCATCAAAACGGTGTGAAAAAAAAAATCAACTAACCACAAAGGAGGCAGTAATGGAGAAAATGAGCATCACAACAGTAATAAAACATGCAGAAAACATATAGAAAAAGAGCAAAAGTAAGTTCTTCCTTAACTGCCTCAAAATTAAATGGATTAAAATCTCCAATCAAAAGGCAGAGTTTGAAAGAATAGATATTTTAAAAATGATCCAACTATATGCTGTCTCCAAATGACCCACTTTAGATCCAAACAGACACAAATAAATTTAAAGTGAAACGATAGAAAAATATATGCCATGCAAACAGTAACCAAAAGACAGCTGGAGCAGCTATAGGTATCAGGCAAAATAGACATCAGTCAAAAACTGTCAAAAAAGACACAGAAGGGCATTACATATTGATTAAAGGGTTAACTCATCAAAAAGATTTAACATTTATAAACAGATATGTACCAAACAACAGAGTCCCAAAATATATGAAGCTAACACCGACTAAAGTAAAGGGAGAAATAGATAATTCTATAATAACAGCTGGAAACTTGAATATACAACTTTCAATAATGGATAAAACATCTGGACAAAAGATCAGCAAGAAAATAGAGAGTATTAACAATTGTATAAACAACTAGAAACAGACATATATAGAATATCATATGCAACAACAGCAAAATACACATTCTTCTCAAGTGCACATAGAAAATTCTCTAGGATGGACCATGCATTAGGTACAAAACAAGTCTCAATAAATTTAAAAGAATTGAAATAATAAAAAGTATCTTCTTTGACCACAATGGAATAAAGATATAAATCAATAACAGAAAGAAAACTAGAAAATTCACAAATATGTGCAAGTTAAATGACACACTCTTAAGCAACAGGGGGTCATAGTTGAAATGACAAGGGAAATTAGAAAATACTTAGAAACAATTGAAAAGAGAAACACAACATACCAAAATGTATGGGATGCAGCAAAGGTAGTATTCAGAGGGAAATTTATAACAGGTAAACATCTACATTACAAAAGATGAAAAGTCTCAAATCAATAACCTAACTTTACACCTCAAGGAACTAGAAAAAGAAGAATAAGATAAACCTAAAACTAGCAAAGGAAGAAAATAATGAAGATTAGAGCAGAGATAAACGCAATAAAGAATAGAAAATCAATAGAATCAATGTAACTAAAAATTGATCTTAAAAACTGACAAATCTTTAGCTAGATTGACAACAAAGAAAGAGGACACAAATAAGTAAAATAAAAGTGGAAGACATTATTACTGACCTTACAGAAACAAAAAGAATTTAAACAAATACTATAAACAGTTATACGCCAGCAAATTAGATAATGTAAACGAAATGAACAAATTCCCAGAAAAAAACAAATTATCAAAACTGACTCAAGAAGAAATATAAAATCTGAGCAGAATTATAACAAATGAAAACACTGAATCAGTAATAAACCTCTCAACAAAGAACAGTTCAGGGACAGATGGCTTCACTGGGGATTCTACCAAGCATTTAAGGAAGAATGAACACCCATTCTTCTCAAACTCTTTCCAGAAATGAAAGAGAGGAGAACACTTCCTGATTCATTCCATGAGGCTAGCATTAACCTGATACCAAAGTCAGGTTTCTTGTGATGAAAAGAAATCACAAGAAAAGAAAATAACAAGAAAAAAAAAAAAAGAAAATTACAGATCAACATCCTTTGTAAAACAAAAGTACTAACAAATTGAATTCAGCAGCACATTAAATAGATTATGCACTACAACCAAGCGGTAGTTATTCCAGGAATGCAAGAGTGATTCAACACCACCACCAAAAACAATGACAACAGCAACAACAACAAAAGGAACAATGTAATACAACACATTAATAAAGGGAGGAAAAATGCTTGATCATCTCGATTGATGCAGAAAAAGACATTTGACAAAATCTGCTACCTTTCATCATAAAAACACTCAGAAAGCTAGAAACAGAAGGGAATTTCCCTATGAAAAACCTACAGATAATATCAGATTCTATGGTTAAAGACTGAAATCTTTCCCCTTAAGTTCAGGAACAAAACAAGAATGTCTGCTTTCACCACTGCTGTACAACATTGCACTAAAACCCCTACGCAGAGCAATTAAACATAAAAAAATAAAAGGCATCCAAATTAGAAAGAAAGAAGTAAAACTATTTTTTTCCTTAGACAGGTTCTTACTCTGTCACTCAGGCTGGAGTGCAGTGGCACAATCACAGCTCACTGCATCCTCAACCTCCCAGGCTCAAGTGATCCTCCCACTTTAACTTCCAGAGTAGCTGGGACCACAGGTGTGTGTCACCATGTTTCATGCGCGTCCGTGTGAAGAGACCACCAAACAGGCTTTGTGTGAGCAACATGGCTGTTTATTTCACCTGGGTGCAGGAGGGCTGAGTCCGAAAAGAGAGTCAGCGAAGGGAGATAAGGGTGGGGTCGTTTTATAGGATTTGGGTAGGTAAAGGAAAATTACAGTCAAAGGGGGTTTGTTCTCTGGCGGGCAGGAGTGGGGGTCGCAAGGTGCTCAGTGGGGGTGCTTTTTGAGCCAGGATGAGCCAGGAAAAGGACTTTCACAAGGTAATGTCATCACTTAAGGCAAGGACCAGCCATTTACACTTCTTTTGTGGTGCAATGTCATCAGTTAAGGTGGGGCAGGGCATATTCACTTCTTTTGTGATTCTTCAGTTACTTCAGGCCATCTGGGCATATATGTGCAAGTCACAGGGGATGCGATGGCTTGACTTGGGCTCAGAGGCCTGACATTCCTGCCTTCTTATATTAATAAGAAAAATAAAACAAAATAGTGTTGAAGTGTTGGGGCGGCGAAAATTTTTGGGGGGTGGTATGGAGAGAGAATGGGCAATGTTTCTCAGGGCTGCTTCAAGCGGGATTAGGGGCGGCGTGGGAACCTAGAGTGGGAGAGATTAAGCTGAAGGGAGGTCTTGTGGTAAGGGGTGATATTGTGGGGATGTTAGAAGAAATGTTTGTCGTATAGAATGATTGGTGATGGCCTGGATACGGTTTTGTATGAATTGAAAAACTAAATGGAATAACAGAAGGAGAAAAACAGGTATAAAAGGTCTAAGAATTGGGAGGACCTAGGACATCTGATTAGAGAGTGCCTAAGGAGATTCAGCATAGTCCTGCCAGCAAAGATTATTTATTTACTTCAAGAGTTAAGAGTGGCAGTTTGGGGATAGCACCAGGAGATATCAGCTGTGACGGCTTGGAAAAACAGTGTAAACCGGCAGTGTAAACAAGAGCAGGGCATGTATGAGTACTTGAGAACGGTGAATAGGAGTATTATGACTAGACAGAAAATAGTAGGGATGACAAGTTTTTTTTTGGGCGGGGGGGCACAGTCTAAGTTGGTCTGGTGTCCGGAATGAGACTGGGGCCTAATAAAAAGGAGCGTCCATACAGGAGCTCAAATGGGCTGTACCCTGTAGCATTCCCAGGACAGGCCTGAATTCTGAGAAGGGAAAGTGGTAAAAGTATTGTCCAGTCCTTTTTAAGTTGGTGGCTGAGCTTGGTGAGGTATGTTTTTAAAAGACCTTTAGTCCGTTCTACTTTTCTTGAAGACGGAGGACCGTAAGGGATATAAAGGTTTCACTGAATACTAAGAGCCTGAAAACCTGCTTGGCTGATTTGACTAATAAAGGCTCATCTGTTATCAGACTGTATAGAGGTGGGAAGGCTAAACTGAGGAATTATGCCTGACAGAAGGGAAGAAATGACTCCGGTGGCCTTCTCAGACCCTGTAGGAAAGGCCTTTACTTATTCAGTGAAAGTGTCTATTTAGACTAAGAGGTATTTTAGTTTTCTGACTCGGGCCTGTTGAGTAAAGCTAATCCGCCAGTCCTGGGTGGGGACAAATCCTCAAGCTTGATGTGTAGGGAAGGGAGGGGGCCTGAAGAATCCCTGAGGAGTAGTAGAATAGCAGATGGAACACTGAGAAGTTATTTCCTTGAGGATAGATTTCCACGATGGAAAGGAAATGAGAGGTTCTAAGAGGCGGGCTAGTGGCTTGTACTATAGTATAACCTGCCTTTGCTGGTGTGTGGCGATTAGGCCTGGTGGAACCGCCAGCAATAAATCAAGCGTGATCAGGGTGAGGAACAGGAAAGAAGGAAATTTGCGGAAATGGGGTGAATGTCAGGTGGATCAGAGAGATACAGTCATGGGGGTCAGGTGTGGTATCAGGAATAATGTGGGAGGCCAGATTGAAGTCTGGGCCAGGAACAACGGTAATTGTGGGAGACTCAACAAAGAGTGAGCACAGCTGAAGGAGCCGGGGAGCAGAAAGTATATGCGTCAGGTATGAGGAAGAAAATAGATTTTGGAAGTTATGAGAACTGTAGAGAGTGAGTTGAGCATAGTTTGTGATTCTGAGGGCCTCTAAAATATTAAAGCAGTGGCAGCCGCTGCACGCAGACATGAGCGCTAGGCTAAAACAGTAAGGTCAAGTTGTTTGGACAGAAAGGCTACAGGGTGTGGTCCCGGCTCTTGTGTAAGAATTCTGACTGCACTAACCATGCCTAGGAAGGAAAGGAGTTGTTGTTTTGTAGAAGGTGCTGGGGTTTGAGAGATCAGTCGGACACGATTGGCAGGGAGAGCACGTGTGTTTTTATGAGAATTATGCCGAGATAGGTAACAGATGAGGAAGAAATTTGGGCTTGATTGAAGTAATGGGGGCTGTCTGTGAAGCTTTGCGGCAGTACAGCCCAGGTAATTTGCTGAGCTTGATGGGTGTCAGGGTCAGTCCAAGTGAAAGCAAAGAGAGGCTGGGATGAAGGGTGCAAAGGAATAGTAAAGAAAGCATGTTTGAGATCTAGAACAGAATAATGGGTTGTAGAGGCAGGTATTGAGGATAGGAGAGTATATGGATTTGGCACCACAGGGTGGATAGGCAAAACAATTTGGTTGATAAGGCGCAGATCCTGAACTAACTTGTAAGGCTTGTCTGGTTTTAGGACAGGTAAAATGGGGGAATTGTAAGGAGAGTTTATAGGCTTTAAAAGGCCATGCTGTAGCAGGCAAGCGATAACAGGCTTTAATCTTTTTAAAGCGTGCTGCGGGATGGGATATTGGCGTTGAGTGGGGTAAGGGTGATTAGGTTTTAATGAGATGGTAAGGGGTGCATGATCGGTCACCAAGGAGGGAGTAGAGGTATCTTATACTTGTGGGTTAAGGTGGGGGGATACAAGAGGAGGACGCAAAGGAGGCTTTGGATTGGGAAGAAGGGCGGCAATGAGATTCAGCTGTAGTCCAGGAATAGTCAGGGAAGCAGATAATTTAGTTAAAGTGTCTCAGCCTAATAAGGGAACTGGGCAGGTGGGGATAACTAAAAAGGAGTGCTTAAAAGAGTATCGTCTAAGTTGGCACCAGAGTTGGGAAGTTTTAAGAGGTTTAGAAGCCTGGCTGTCAATATCTACAACAGTTATGGAGGCAAGGGAAACAGGCCCTTGAAAAGAAGGTAATGTGGAGTGGGTAGCCTCCGTATTGATTAAGAAAGGGACGGGCTTACCTTCTACTGTGAGAGTTACCCGAAGCTCAGCGTCCGTGATGGTCTAGGGGGCTTCCGAGGCGATCGGGCAGTGTCAGTCTTCAGCCGCTAAGCTGAGAAGATCTGGGAAGGAGTCAGTCAGAGAGCCTTGGGCCGGAGTTCCAGGGGCTCTGGGAGTGGCTGCCAGGTGAGTTGAACAGTCCGATTTTCAGTGGGGTCCCACACAGATGGGACGCGGCTTAGGAGGAATCCCGGGCTGCGGGCATTCCTTGGCCCGGTGGCCAGATTTCCGGCACGTGTAGCAAGCTCCTGGGGGAGGAGGTTCTGGAGGAACGCCTGGCTGCTGCGGTTCAGGCGTTTGGAAGTTCTTGTGTGCTGGAGATGTGGCTGGGGTTTGTCTCACAGAGGAGGCAAGGAATTGCAACTTTTTTCTGTTATTGTACACCTTGAAGGTGAGGTTAATTAAGTCCTGTTGTGGGGTTTGAGGGCCAGATTCCAATTTTTGGAGTTTTATTTAATGTCGGAAGCAGATTGGGTAATAAAACGTATATTGAGAATAAGACAGCCTTTTGACCTTTTAGGGTCCAGGGCTGTAAAGCGTCTCAGGGTTGCTGCCAAACAAGTCATGAACTGGGCTGGATTTTTATATTTGATGAAAAAGAGCCTAAACGCTATCTGATTTGGGATAAAGAAAAAGGAGCATTCACCTTGATTATGACTTTGGCTCCAGCCACCTTTTTAAGAGTAAATTGCTGGGCAGGTGGGGGAGGGCTAGTCACGGAACGAAACTGTAAGCCAGACCGGGTGTGAGGAGGGGAGGCGATAAAAAGATTATAGGGTGGAGGAGTGGAGGCCGAGGAATAATTGGGACCTAGCTTGGCCTGGTGAGGAGCAGGCTGGGGAGGAAGGGAGAGGTCAGATAGGTCTGTAGAAAAGGAAGATTAGAAAGACTCAGCGATGCTTGGGGTTGGTACTGAGGGGACAGGTGGGAGGGAAAGAAGGAAGATTTGGGACAAGTTGCACTGGGCACAGAGACTAGGAAGGGACTGATGTGTAAAAGAATGCCTGGATGTCAGGCACCTCAGACCGTTTGCCTATTTTACGACAAGAAGTATTTGGATTTTGCAGGATGGAAAAATTCGAAGTGCCATTTTCTGGCTATTTGGAACTACTGTCAAGTTTGTATTGGGGTCAAGCAGCATTGCAGTAGAAAATAAGGCATTTAGGTTTGAGGTCAGGTGTGAGTTGAAGAGGTTTTAAGTTTTTGAGAACACAGGCCAAGGGAGTAGAAGGAGGAATGGAGGGTGGAAGGTTGCCTATAGTGAAGGAAGCAAGCCTGGAGAAAAGAGAGAGTAGAGAAATGAAGGGAAGTTTGGGGGTTCTTACCTTCCAGAAAAGTGGGAAAAGGGGTTGGGGCACAGAGATAAGAGGTCGGGGTGTGGAAATAAGGGATGGGGTGCAGAAATAAGGGGTCAGAGCACAGAAATAAGGGGTCGGGGCACGGAAATAAGGGATTGGGGCGCAGAGATATAAGAGGTTGGGGCACGGAAATAAGGGATTGGGGCACAGAGATACGAGATTGGGGTACTTGCCCCTCCTCTAGAAAAGCAGGACTTGCCACTAAGGGTGAAGGAGAAGGGGTTGAGGGGTACTTGCCCCTCCCCCAGAAAAGCAGAGAAGGGGTAGAGACAAGGAGAGAAGGGGTTGGGGTACTTGCCCCTTTCCCAGAAAAGCGGGACTTGCCGCTAAGGGTGAAGGACCAAGGTGGGCGTCCCTGCATGGTCTGACACCTTTGAAATGTGGGTGAATGATCAGAGAGGCGTCCCTGCAATGATGAAACACCAAGGGAAGTCTGCCTTCCCAGTCCGTGACCAGCGCCGAGTTTTGAGTCCATGGTTAAAATGTGTCTCCTTTGTCTCTCCCAGAAAATGAAAGGAATTAAAATTAAGAGAAGGGAGAGATTGAAGAGTAGAAAGGAGAAAGTGGTTGAGGGACAGTGAGAGAGGTTGGAGAAGAGAGTAAGAAGAGGCCGCTTACCTGATTTAAAATTGGTGAGATGTTCCTTGGGCTGGTCGGTCTGAGGACCTGGGGTCGTAGGTGGATCTTTCTCATGGAGCAAAGAACAGGAGGACAGGGGATTGACCTCCCAAGGGAGGTCCCCCGATCCAAGTCACAGCACCAAATTTCATGCGCGTCCGTGTGAAGAGACCACCAAACAGGCTTTGTGTGAGCAACATGGCTGTTTATTTCACCTGGGTGCAAGCGGGCTCAGTCCGAAAAGAGAGTCAGCGAAGGGAGATAAGGGTGGGGCTGTTTTATAGGATTTGGGTAGGTAAAGGAAAATTACAGTCAAAGGGGGTTTGTTCTCTAGCGGGCAGGAGTGGGGGTCGCAAGGTGCTCAGTGGGGGAGCTTTTTGAGCCAGGATGAGCCAGGAAAAGGACTTTCACAAGGTAATGTCATCACTTAAGGCAAGGACCAGCCATTTACACTTCTTTTGTGGTGCAATGTCATCAGTTAAGGTGGGGCAGGGCATATTCACTTCTTTTGTGATTCTTCAGTTACTTCAGGCCATCTGGGCATATATGTGCAAGTCACAGGGGATGCGATGGCTTGGCTTGGGCTCAGAGGCCTGACACCATGCCTGGCTAATTTCTTTCCCTTTTCTTTTTCGTAAAGACATTGTGTATGTTGTCCAGGCTGGTCTCAAACTTCTGGGCTCAAGCGATCCTCCCACCTCGACTTCCCAAAGTGCTAGGATTCCATGCATGAGCCACTGTGCCAGCCTAATAAGTAAAACTATTTCTACACACAGATTACATTATTCTACACATATGAAATTTCCAAAATAATCCACTGAAAAAGCTACTGATGCTAATGAATGAATTCACTTATTAGCTGAAAGCTGAAAGGCACCACATCAACACACAAAAATCAGTAGTTTCTGTATAACAGTAATGAACTAGCTAATAAAGAAATTACAAAAGAAATCTATTTACAATAGCATCAAAAGAATACAATACCTAGGAATAAATTTATCCAAGGAAGTGAAAGACTCATACATTGCAAACTAGAAAACATTACTTTAAAAAAAATCAAAGAAGACCAAAATAAATGAAAATATTCCTATGATCATGGAAGACAATATTTTTAGGACATCAGTACTACCCAAAGCAATCTATAGAGTGAGTGTAATCCCTATCAAAATTAGAACTTCTCTTTTTTGCAGAAATGGAAAAGCTGAGCCTCAAATCCATATGGAATTTCAAGGCTTGGAATAGCCAAAAAAATTTTGAAAAAGAACAAAGCTGAAGGATTTATATTTCCTAATTATACAACTTTCTATAAAGCTACAGTAATCAAAAGTGTGGTATGGACATAATGATAAACATATAGACAAAATGAATATAATTGAGAGCCCCAAAATATTCATTTATCTATGGCCAATTGATTTTCAACAAGGATGCCAAAACCATTCAATGGGGAAAAGGTTGTTTCTTCAACAAATGGTGCTTAGACCATCACACATGTGAAAGAATGAACTTGAACTTCTTCACACCATGTGCAAATCTTAACTCAAAATGAGTCAATGATCTAAATATAAGAGCTAAAATCACAAAAATCTTAGAAGACAACATAGGGTTAAGTCTTTGTAACCTTCGATTTGGCAATCGATTCTTAAGTATAATACCCAAAGCACAAGCTACAAAGGTGTTGGACTTTATAAAAATAAACAATTGTGTGCATATGTGGGCATAATCAAGAAAGTACAAAGACATCGTACAGAATGGGAGAAAATATTTGCAAATTACAGATCTCATATGAATTCAATATTGAGAGTGTATAAAGAACTCTACAACTCAAGAGCAAAAAGAAAACCCCATTGAAAAATAGGCAATGGATTTAAATACACATTTTTCTCAAGAAGACGTACAAATGGCCCATAAGTACAGTAAAAAATACTCAACCTCATTAGTCATTAGAAGAAATGCAAATCAAAACCACAATGAGGTACCACTCAACACTAACTAGAATTGCTAAAATCAAACACCTGTAATCCCAGCACTTTGGGAGGCCGAGGTGGGCGGATCACCTGAGGTTGAGAGTTCAGGATCAGCCTGACCAACATGGAGAAACCCTGTCTCTACTAAAAATACAAAAATTAGCCAGGCATGGTGGTGCATGCCTGTAATCCCAGCTACTCAGGAGGCTGAGGCAGGAGAATCGCTTGAACCCAAGAGGTAAAGGTTGCAGTGAGCCAAGATAGCGCCATTGCACTCCAGCCTGGGCAACAAGAGCGAAACTCTGCCTCTCTCTCTCTCTGTCTCTGTGTATATATATACATACACCCCTAAAGAATTGAAAACAGGTACTCAAACAAGTACATATACACATCTGTTCATGACAGCACTATTCACAATAGCCAAAAAGTGGAAACAGCTCAAATGTTCATCAAGAGATGAATAAAGAAATTGTGGTATATACATACAGTGAAATATTATTTGTCCATAAAATAAAACAAAGTACTGTACATGCTACCACATGGATGAACCTTGAAAACATGCTAAGCAAAAGTAGCCGGACAGAAGAGGTCATGTATTCTATGAGTTTATTCATATGAAATATCCAAAATAGATAAACCCAAGGAGATAAAGTGCAGGCTGGTGGTTGCTAGGGATGAGACAGGAAGGAATTGGGAGAAACTGCTTATTATTTATGGGTTTTACTTTGGAGTTATGGACATATTTGGAACTAAATAGAGATTGTGGCTGCAAAACATTGTGAATACATAAAATGCCACTGAATTGCTCACTTTAAAATGGCTAATTTTGTATGAATGTCACCTGAAAAAATTATTTTTTAAAAAAGAAAAATGCCACTCTTCTCAATAGCTTATTTTAAAATTAGCTGAACTTTTGTTTCTATCCAATCTGCAAAAAGAAATCAATAATTTCACATTTAGCTGGCTAATGTTAATATCATCTATTAGCCAATGTGGGCATTATCCGGTTGCATTTGGGTAATATATTTTTCTTCACGTCATTAGGGACCTCGGTTAATAATTCTGATCACCAGATAACCCTAATTGTAGCTAAATCTGACAGCAGATGCCACAGCATATCTTTTCTTTGTTCCATAATTGGTTAGCTCTGGGTTAGGCACAGAGTAAGCATAATCTGGGAATATGTCTTAAAATAATTATCTAAAACCAGGACAATGCATTAACCATGTGCCTTTTCATTTCTGGTAAGTGTCGTTTGTGAGCTTAGTGTTTCAACCGCTTGTATGTTCTCTATAAATTTCATGGCATAAAAGTATATGTTTACTACATGTTATCAAAGGAGAGATACTCTGACTTTATTGCAACTATTATAACCAAAAAAAAAAAATCACAGAATGAGCTATGTGGGGAACCTTGATAGGTAAATTGATGCTCAAGCCTTTGGCATCTTGTCACCTGAGCCTGAACCCATGACCTACTCTGTTGTGTGCATTGAGAGTTGAGTTAATGCCATTGGCAAGCAAGGCATTGAATTAGATAATCTCAAATGATAACTCTTTAATCTCATTATGAAACAACTGGTCTTGTCTAATTGTTTCCCTATTAAATGTCATAATCAGATTCAAGATGGTGAAAAAATACTGACTTGGTAGCAGGATGCTAAGTCTAAATTGTATTATTAATAAACTGCAAGTATTACATCAGGAGTCAAAAGGGTAGAGTTTACTCAGAAGGTGGCAATGAACAAAAATGCTCAGCAAATTGCTTGAGCTTCTCAACTGGTGTTGGAATATCTGGTAGTAGATAATAATAACAATAATAATTGGTTATTAAATTCTTACAGAGTAGTGGACCCTGGATTAAATGATTTATCTAGACTGATTTCATTTTTATAAGGAGAGAAATAAAAAGGTTAAAGATCTTATTTTTATTTGGCAGATCCATGATTCAAATCCAAGTTTCTGTGACTCTACAGTCTTTAAATGCTTATGTAACACCATGTTCCAGATCCTCTCAAACCATAACTTGGAATACTCTAAGTCTCCAGAGAGATCAGGCATGCAATGGAGTGAGACTGTCTTTCTTGCTAACTTCAATTTGATTTAATGAAAGATAGGAACTAAACAGGTAATTTATACAACTAGCTAGAACTTTTAAAACATAGACATGCATTGCTTAATGATGGGGATACATTGTGAGAAAAGCATCCTTAGGTGATTTAGTGGTTGTGAAAACATCACAGAGCGTACTTAGACACACCTAGAGGGTATAGCTCACTCCACATCTAGGCTATATGGTACAGTCTATTGCTCCTAGGCTACAAATCTGTAAAAGTGTGCCTATACTCAATACTGTAGGTAACTGTATCACAGTAGTAAGTAATTTTCTATCTAAACGTATATAAACATAGAAAAGGTATACAATAAGTATAAAAAATAAAATAGGTATACAAAATAAAAAATGGTCACCTGTATAGGGCACTTACAATGAATGGAGTTTGCCGGGCTGGAAGTTGCTCTGGGTGAGTCAGTGAGTGGGTAGTGAGTGAATGTGAAGGTCTAGGACATTACTATACACTACTGTAGACTTTATAAACACTGTACACTTAGGTTACACTACATTTACTTAAAAAATAAAGCAATTGCACTACAAGGTTGCAATAGCTACATCACTAGGCAATGGGAAATTTTCAGCTCAATTATTATCTTATGGGACCACCTGTATATGTGGCTCATCATTGACCGAAACATTATGCGGCACATGACCGTATCTCTGAGATTTCTCACCAGGCTTCTGACAAGTTACGGATAAAGAAGAAAACAAAATCCCTCACTTATATTGGTAATGTGCCTCATGTCCACCAAATGTTTGTTTTTTAAATGTCGATGGGCCGCATTTTTATGCCACAACCTGCCAGTTTGGGATATACATTAATTATATCTTTGGCTCTACAATACCTCAGTGGGTTGGAAGAAAAGAGGCTCACTTTAGTTTTGGGTTTTTTTTTTTCTTTTATAATTTCAATGTTTAGAATCAGGGAGTACGTGGGCAGGTTTGCTACAAGAGTATATTGCATGACACTGAGGTTTGGGGTACTAATGATCCTGTCACCCAGGTAGTGAGCATAGTACCCAGTAGGTGGTTTTTAGATCCTTACCTCCCTCATTTTCTCCCCGCCTTAGTAGTCCTCAGTGTCTGTTGTTCTTGTCTTTATGTTCATGTGTACCCAGTGCCTAGCTCCAACTAATAAGTGAGAACATGCAGTATTTGGTTTACTCTTTCTGCCTGTATTTGCTTAGGATAATGGTCTCCACCTGCATCCATGTTGCCACAAAGGACATGATTTCATTCTTTTTATGGCTGCATAGTATTCCATGGTGTATATGTACCATATTTTATTTTATACCCAAAGGAAAATAAATTGCTCTACCAAAAAGACACATGTGCTCATAGGTTCATCACAGCACTAGTCACAACAGCCAAGTCATGGAATCAACCTAGATACAGCCTAAGAGCATCTTATTCCCTGGCCCAATTCATGCCAGAAAAAGAACAACTTTAAATTAACATATGACTCCAGCATTTCTGCTATGAAAGCCATTGAGTGGGGGATCTAATTCTCAATTCACTTCAACTCAATTCTAATAAAATCAAACTCAGTAAATATTCACTCTGTGCCTACTACAGCTTGGCATCACCTGGGACAGATGTAATAAGAAT
Organism: Homo sapiens; assembly: GCF_000001405.40. Taxonomy (NCBI): domain Eukaryota; kingdom Metazoa; phylum Chordata; class Mammalia; order Primates; family Hominidae; genus Homo; species Homo sapiens. The sequence continues at coordinate 232,113,029 of NC_000001.11, read as the reverse complement.
AAGGTCCCTGTTCTCAAAGAACTCACAGACAAGTATTGAAGTCAGTTGAGTCAACATGAATATCACTCTGGTAGACAGGGGCTGAGACAGAGGCAGAATGTACCAAGGGAAGAGTGGTTGTTGATCCAACCAGGAAAAACGGAGGGATTTCCAGAGAAGGTCCTCAATGAGCTGAGTTTTGCAGGGTAAGTCTTATCTTGAATGGATAAGAAGACTGTCAAAGGGAACAGCATGTGCAAACTCGAAAAAGGAGCAAGTCAGGCCATAAGCATTCTCAATTCTTTTGCCTCCATCATAGTCACCTAGTCTGGAGTGGCCTTTTAGCAGAATAGTTGGCCCAGGGGCAAGTGATATGACATAGCAGGGCTGTTCAGGAAACCATAAGTAGTTCTAGAAAAGGAGTCTAGCCACACAGTCCTAACCCATCCCTGCACCTTCAATTTTGATTCATCTACCTCCCCTGCATCTGTGTCTCTACCTACCCACAATTCCTCCTTGGCTGAATTTATCCACCACCATTCATATCTACCCGTGGTTTAGAAAAGGACTAATAAAGAACCAGGGCTCACAATGTGGGACTGGAGAAATTGAGAAAAGCTTTACATTCTATTTTTTCTGACTAAACTAAGATAAAAAGTCTTTCCCAGCAAGATACTATTATTATTCTTGGACAGTTCTCTATTTTTAAGATTTGGGCCAGATTATGCTTCTTGCTTTGGAGTTAGGTCAGCAAAGATCATTCTCCTTCCCAGCCCACTTTATTTTAAAAATCTCCATCTGTATTGAATTTGAACTTGAGCAGGGTCTGTTTCTGAGATTATCTTGTCACAGTTGACAATGCTCTAGTGCCCTCTCCCTTGATGTTGGTTGGTTTATAGGGTTTATTGCCAGGTTTAAAAGCTAACTTTCTGGCCTTTCATCTTTGTATGTTCTTATAACAGAAACTCAGAGCAAAAAGGGGTTTTAAAAAAAGGTCCCAGAGAGGGGAAAAAATAGATGAACAGACTATTCATCTAAATATGCTTAGTCTGATATCAAATAAATATATATTTTAGGGGAAAGAATTACAGTATAAACAGAAACATCTCAACCATCTGTCCAAAGTTCTTCCAATATAATTACATCACACTGTGGCTAATGGCTGGTTGTTGATCCAGATATTTGAAGGAGAGGGTAATACCCTCCTGGGATCTCACAGCCATCCACGGCTTCCTGCCTCATTACCACTTACCAGTTTTTTATCGACAATTAGGATTAGTGAAGAATCCAAAGCTTTCACTGGGAGAAACAGTCTCTGATTTAGTAAGTTAAATTAGCAACTGAGAATGCCTCAAACCTCAGCCTGCATGGTTTAAAGATTTCTTTCTTAAGATAATAGTAAATAAATTCAACCAAAAAAGTGCCCAGGGAAAACGTTGGAGAAAAATCTTCCATGATGACAAATATTAATCATCAAACTCAAGTGTTTATGTACTTCAAGCCTCAGTCAGCCTCCTCCAGTTATTAATATTCAAATGTCCTTTCCCTCTAGTCTGCATGCAAGAAGAAAGCATTCAAGTTTCAGACTTTTATCGATGAGTTAAGACAAGAAGATGGCAGACTCTTTTGTTTTTTCCCCTGGAAGTGAAATCTACTTTGTCTATTCACCTTCCGGAGTTTCTGGTGGTATATATATTCCTTCTGTAGAGTCGCTGAGCTGAACACCCTCCAGAAACTCAAAAAAGAGGCAAGTCAGGCCCTAAGCTCTCCCAGTTCCTCTGCCTCCATTATAATCCCCCAGTCTAGCCTGGCCTCTTAGCAGAACAGTTGAGTTTATTTATTTGATCATCTTCACCTCTTTCTTGACAGCTGACTTATCTGAAGCGTTCCTCCTAGGTGATATTTCTTCTACTGGGTCAACAAAAAGCAAGGGGCAGAATTTCAGCCACTTCCAAAGCCCCATAACCCAAATCATTAGGTCTCCCCGAGTCTGTTTATGTTCCCCCTTTTATAAACACAGACGCAGCATGGTAGCGGTGTGGAGGTGATGACAAAGGCTTTCCTTTCTCACCTCCTGCTAGGTTTTTGGCACTTTATCCCTAGCATTCTGCAGCCGACTGCATGGATTCACAGCTGGGAACTGGGAATACAAATCGCTCAGAGAGCTGAGAGGTGAAAGGGCAGCTAGAGTCTCCACAGGGCTCCCAGAATCCCACTTCCCATTCCCCTTATTCCGCTCCCCTCCCCCCAGGGTTGTCACCAACATTAGCCGCTACTGGTAACTGTAGCAGCTCAGGGTCAGCGTTTGCCGCCCCCATGCCAGGCCACTGAGTCAGTGAGGACTGCAGATTGGGGGTGGGGGCCACACTGATCTACTATGCAGAGGCACACTTGTGAGCGGACCGGCTACAGGCGAGGGAGAGGAGTATTGACATTCTCCCCTTAGGAGGGGAAAGGGAATGGTCTTGAGGTCTGCAGGGAGAGATCACAGCTGCAGGGCCCAGTGAGTTCCCTTACTCAAGCTAAGTCAGCGGTGTTCAGGCGCTGTTCAAGTCTTACCCAGCCCTGGTGCCAAGCTATTTCTGATGTTGCATTTCTTGAGGCTAGACTTGAACAGTAAGCATCATTCCTCCAGCCCATGTGGGGTCCAGATGTATATGGCTGAAGGGGAATTCTTTTTACTGCTTCTAGAGGCTCTGGGTGGATAGAAAAATTACTCCACATTCCAGTGTGTTATTTATATGCATTCTTCAGCACTCCATGATAACACGACAAGCGCCCTGAGAATTGGGAATGGAGATTGTAAAGGAGTTGAGCTGACTCAAGTAAAACAGTGAAGAAAAAAGAAAGACTGGAAACAAATTTGGAGGACTCGACAGAAGGGAGACAAAGAGAAGTAGAAAAGAACTGAGGGCTGGATTTGGGAAGACCCTTGGTTTAGTCAGCTGTTTGTATCATCATCATTAATGGGCAGCATCCATTCAATGGAAGACAGGTAGGAAAATAGTTTAATTGACTTGAGAGAACTCAGGCAGCCTGTAACCATGACCATCAGTCATCTTTCCCTGATGTCGACAATGGTAACAACAGTAACAGTATTAGAGGAATAACACATTTTCCTAGAACTCCCACTTTCAAAGATTCTTTTCTCACTCATTTCTATAGACTTTCATGGGCACTATTTCATTTGCCATCTTCAGTTCTCCATCCCCACCCCAGGGCTCAGAAAGAAGGCTGGGCTTATGGAAAAGGCAAGGGCTGAGAAACAGACAGATCTTGATTCAGATCTCCACTGTGTGACCTTAGACAAATTACTAAATTCTGACTATCTTCAGGTTTCTCATCTGTGAAATGGAAGGAAACAATGTGCACTCACATTTGGTTGGGTGGCTTAAAAGAAGCATGCATTAGCATTCAACATATGGTAGCTATTGGCTTCAAACCCATTTTACACACCAGGAAGTTTATCTAACATCACCCACAACTCTGTACTCCAAGCCAAAATGGCTTACTGAAGTCTGTTGCCTCCCAGCCTGCAAATTAAAATAAAATAGGATCCAAGGAGCATTGCAGCATAATAGAATGCATGACGACATGGAGTGAAGACACCTTGATTTGTCCTAGCCCTTCAAGTGCTTACAGAATTGAGATAATTTATATGAAGCACTTAACATAGTGTCTGGTATATCAAAAACACAATATCTAAGTGTCCTTTCTCTCTTGCTCCACATTCAGTTGGATAGGAAATCTCATTGGCTCTACCACCTAGATATATTCTCTTACATATGTGCATGTGCATGTATGTGTGTGTGAGGCATGGGAATGAGTTATGCCAATATGGGTGGGAGGAGACAACTTATATATACATATATTCTACTCCTTTCCCCAACTCCCACTGCTACTGTCTGATCTAAGACACACCATTTCTGGCCTGAATGATTGACTATAGCCTCTTAACCAGGCTCCCTATTTGTTCTCTACGTTCTGCTGTCTGTACTTAGCAGCCAGGGTAATATTTTAAAACATAATTCAAACCATGCCATGCCTCTGCCTTGAGCATTCCAAGGGCTCCTGACTTCATTCAGAGCAAAAGCAAAAATCCTTAAAATGGCCTACAAAGTCCAGCCTAATGTGGCCTCCCCGCCTCCCAGCCTTACTTCTCTGAGCTCTGACACACCTCTCACTACCCTCCCCCAACTTACTCTACTGTCCCCAACCCTGGGGCCTCCACAGCCAAACCTGGTGTGGGCTGGCTTCTCTCCCTGCTGTCCCTTCCTACTCATATCCGCCTGACTCATTCCCACACTTCCTTGACATCTTTGCTCAAATGTCACCGTATTTAAAATTGTATCTGCTCTGGCTCCCAGCTCTCCTGGTTCCCCTTAGCCTGCTCTCTTTTTCCCACTGCATCACCACTAACCTACCAGGTAAGTGACTTATTAATGGTGTACATTGTCTCCCTGCCGAGGTGTAAGCTCCATGATGGCAGAGATTTTTTTGTCTGCATGTTCGTAGCTATATCCTAAGTAACCCAACCAGTGTCAGCCCACAGTAGGGACTCAACTGGTATTTGCTGAATAAATTAATAAGTGGTCATCATCTTTAGAGAGAAAATCTCAACCTCTAAGAGTCTGCAACTCTCCTTTTTCTTTGTTTTACAAATAGGGTGGGGAGGAAAAGAAAAAGTATGATCATGATCTGAAAATTTCTTTCAGCTCTGGAAGTCAATTTAAATTTACTAAAGCATGAATTTATTCATTCATCAAAGGAATATTTATTGAACATTTACTAAATGCTGAGAATACTAAAAAAGTGAATGCAATAGATTCCCTAATATTCCTAATTTTGTGAGAGAAGTAGACTTGTAAACCAATAAGTGAAGGATACTTAGACAGGTGTTACAGAGTGAAATGAGTGTGGATTCAGAGAAAAGTCTCTAACTTTTCTGGAGTGACGAGTGAGAGTTGGAAGGCTGAGGACAGAGGCAGAGGAAAAATGCATTTAAGAAGACTTCGTGGAGATTTATCAGTTGAGGCTGGAAAGATGGATAAGAATTTGTAGGTTGAGGAAGAGGGATGATATTCCAGGCAAAGGCATGAGGTTCCTGAAGTGGTAGGGTGGGGCGGGGTGGGAATGGTAGGCTTAGGGTAGAGAGGGAACTGAGGCTTTACTCTGCCACTCATGGGAGCCTCTGGTTTGATATTAAGTAGGGCAATTATATAATCATACATACATTTCTAATACATCACTACGATGTGAAAAATTGGAGGTGGGGGGAATAAAATGGAAGGCGACAGCAATGCTATGGTCGTCTCATGTCAGGGTCTTGAGCCTAGGGCTCAAGAGTCAAATACTTCGTAAAGGTCACATTCTAAATATATTATTACTTTGTAATCTGCTTTTCCTTCAGTTAGTATAAACATCTTTTCATGTCCATCTATATAGAGATGGACATGAAAAGATGTTTATACTAATCTGTATATGCAGATAATATATGCTAATCTATATATACAGATAGCATATACAGATAGTATATGCTATCTGTATATACAGATAGTACATACTAATACTGTACAGATTAGTATGTACTATCTGTATATACAGATATAGATGGACCTGAAAAAATGCTTATACTAACTGAAAGAAAAGCAATTACCCTTAATGACTGCACTATATTCCATTCTCCAGTGTATCTAATGTATTTAACAGGCCCCTTATTGCATATGAAGATATCTTATGAGTTTTTAGCATCTATGTCTACATTCATTGCTTTGATTATACCTATATTAGAGTGCAGTCTAAAATAGCCTTAAATAACTTTGACAGATAGTAACTTAGAAATCACTCTTTATGGTAGACAGCATCTCCATTTGATGGATGTGAAAACTAAGCTTTAATGGAATAATTCCCTTGCCTAAAGTCACAGAGCTACTGGTGACCCACCGTGATTTCAACCCAACATATGTGTGGCCTTTGAAGCTCAGCTTATTGGATTAACATTTTGCATAAATACTCATGGAATCCTGTGTCTGGAAAATACTTTATAGTTGTATAATCCATTCTCCCTCTAAGGTTTTATAAGGTGGGCAAAGCTCTAACTGAGGATTTAGACCTTTTGTATTTTGACCTTCTTAGTAAACCAGTTTTAACCTAAATTAGGAAGCCAGTGACCAGCCCCAAGCACAGTCACTCCTAACCCTCAGGTAGATGGGTGCCTTCACAAGGAAACATACTCTATCAGCACCCTGACCCCAGAGGCCCTGATCTTCTGTCCCAGGAATATGTGTGCAGGTGGGATCTTAGCAAGCACACGCTATGAGCTGAACCATTGCTTGCAAGTGTCTTCATCAGGCACTGTGCCTGGTACACACAATTATACACAGCACTTGTCCACCCCTCTTTTCACCCACAAAGTGCTGCAGATGAATATTCCATCTGATCGCAGCAGAAATCATGAATTTGAAGTCTGCAGCTAGATGACATCATACCCTGAAATGGGAGGAAGAAAATGTCAATTTTCATCTACTAAATGTCAAGCAACCAGCTTGACTGATTGTTTTTACTGACTTGACCAAATCGATAGGTTGTTAAGTCATCGTGTTGACACTGATTAAATCAATACAGTTTGATTTGGAAGGAAGAAGCTGATAACAACCGCAAACATTTAAGCAGTGACCATTCAAATGCTTACTGTGGTGTACCCTGCCGTCTTTGTGCATCATCAGAATTCCTGTCCATTCTCACATTAACCCTGTGAGGTGGGCACTCTTACTATGAATATCTCCATCTCACACAAGAGGAAACTGAGTTTGAGAAAAGTTATACATCTTGCCCAAGATCATCCAGGTAGTGAACAGGCCAGAACTTGAGCCAAGGACTTAGCTATTATGCTCTACTGCTATTGCTAATCGCTTGAAAAATGCTGCAGGACCCAGCTCTTGGCGGAGTTGGATGGCTCCACTGCAGCCTCCTGCTCTGCAGGTGAAGGGCAGCAATGGGGCCAAAGTCTTCCGTGGGCCCCCTATCAATAGTGAGCAAATAATCAGCCAGACCACTCTTGCTGTGCTGTCTCAGGGTTTTCTTTTGTTACCTAGTGATAAAAGAGTGTCCTGGAAGTTGCACACAAAGCTAGAGTGAGTTTCTTCATTTGGATTTTTATGCTTCGATGCTTTGAGGTTGGGGGTGGGGAACAATAGAGCTTAAGCCTGGAAAAACTCACTCTGTTGTGTGCCTCACGTGCACAGCTCTGGCCGACGTGTGTGTTTATAGATATTTATTTCCTTGCCTGTGTTGGAATCATTTGAGCCCCCTGTGCTTTGAACTTGAAAGGATCTTCAAAGGGTGACATCCCCTCAGAAGTCTGGACACAAAGCTGCTTTCTGCCTGCTCTTCCTCTGGTTGCTGAGCATCACAGTGGGTTTAGGTGGATTATCTTTTCTCTCCCCGACTGTGGCCTAACCGTTCTTACAGCTCCGGAATGTCTTAGTGTTCAGTACCTGTCGTGGATCAAACTGTCCTTAGGTCTGGTATGCTTCAAGCAGAAAGAAAGAAGAATGTTGAGTGCTTTAAAAACTTTCGTTTACCTCTTTCTTGCTTATGATTTTTATTTCAACAAGCAAACATATAGTACTTCTGAAAAGCCAGTTCCTGTTTAGCATCTAGGATGGCCATTTTGATACTTGTCTGTCTTCTGTCTCCCACAAAGATACACTGGCAGAAGAAGAGACAGGGGAACCACTGTAAAGAAACTTAGGGGGGTCTGGGCACGGTGGCTTATGCCTGTAATACCAACACTTTGGGAGGCTGAGGTGGGTGGGTCACCTGAGGTTCGGAGTTTGAGACCAGCCTGACCAACGTGGAGAAACCCTGTCTCTATTAAAAATACAAAAAATTAGCCAGGTGTGGTGGTGCATGTCTGTAATCCCAGCTACTCGGGAGGCTGAGGTAGGAGAGTCGCTTGAACCTGGGAGGTGGAGGTTACAGTGAGCCAAGATTGCACCATTGCACTCTAGTCTGGGCAACAAGAGCAAAACTCTGTCTCAAAAAAAAAAGAAAAAGAGAGAAGAAAGAAGAAACAACAAACTTAGGGGGACAAGCAATTTGTAACTCAAAAAAGGAGTTCTAATCCTATTTCTGCTCAGTAGGAACTCCAGTGACAGGTAGAGGGCCACAACATATGATGATAAGGACAATCATCTGAAGCCTTGGATGACTGCCCTACTTTGGAGGAAGCCTGCTTTGGAGTATTGCAATGAATGAATGAATGAGCAACCCACCCTGCTTTGCAGGAAACATCGCAATGGGACACACTCTGCAGCCAGACCCAAGGCCACGGCCAGAAACAAGAAAGGGTACACAATTTGTGGAGTGTGGCTGTGAGCGGAGGTGAGCTGCAGCAAGAATGGTAACGAACCAGGAGACAAAAGACCCGGATTTTGCTTGTTACTCAGCAGTCCCCGCATCGGCTAAATGCAACTGCAAAGCAAGATCATTCAAAGACTATTAAGAACTTGAGAGCTGAAATCTCAAAAAATAGAGGAATCAAAATTACCAGTGTGGGAAAAATCAAAATTTTGTTAGACCTCTTCATGCTTATTTTATGATTTTGCATTGCATTTGTGTTTATTTGTGCACTGGGGAGTTGAGTGTTAGTAGTTGGCATGCAAACTTTTTGATGCCTAGGACTTCTAAAGGTCGGTCTCACCTGGACTTTATCCTAGAAACTTCCATCTTCCATCTAATTCTTGGCAAGTCTGAGGCCCAGTTTTCTTCTTTGATGTTGGACAAGGTTTGATGGAGTGAGGGGTATGACATGGGGATCAGATGAGGTTTAAACTTAAAAAATCTGGGATCTCAACTAATTTTGACTCTTACATGCTTCCTCCAAGAAAGAGAGATTGCTGATATACACAATATATGGATTGGTTAAAAGAAGAGCCATATTTCAGAAGACTAGCCTGATTGAAAAAGTCTTCTGAAATCAGAAAACCATTTTAACTGCAGGCAGAGGAGGCTTTGTTGGCACTTGGAGTCTACAAAGTGTGAAAAGAGAATAGGTGGGTTTAACCTTAGGAACTATTCCCAGAGATCTCTTAATACTTCTTGTTAGAGATGTGGGAAGGATTGTTTTAAGTATTTCCAGTGAGAACGTCATTGCAATTTCAGGTCTGGAAAACAAAGGAATACTTGAAAAAAAATGCAGATCCACAATTGATTTTTGCAAGCTTTGGTGTTCTCATACCTGGAGGCAAGACCTATAGGAAATGGATCTTCCAGTGCTTCATGCACCATGTAGGAGAGCCAGGCCTCTGTTTCATATTAGATCACTGATGCAGAACCATGATGTAGAGGTGTGTTCTCCTTCTCATTGGGCTTTCTTTTGTGTATTTTATGTAAAGACTCTGTTAAGACCTCGACTCCTTAAAATAGGATTTCCAGTATCTTCCACCCAAGAGAAAGAAATTTATGCCAATCCTTTTCTGCCTGGCTAGTTAACCCTGGGTAAAATCACTCCACCTATACACACTTGTGAAACTAGCCAAGGGGTCCCCGCAGCAGTCAAGAACCCAGAAAGAGCTTGGTAAATTTTGGCTCTCATTTTATTGTTATTTAAGAAGTTAACTAGAATAAAGTAAAGCTATAACAGTTGTCACCACTTGCCATAAAATACCCTTCACTATACACATACAATCTCAGTGGCAACAACACCACAGCCTTTCTAGGCTTGCTGTCTTTACTTAGTGTCTCTTTCCAAAATGAATGCTGGGTTTTGCACAGTTTATTTACCTATTTCATAAATACAAATTCCATAGTCCCACAGATATAATTACCTTCTTCATTCGAGGTGTCTTGTGTTTTTTCAGATGGCCTCAAAGAAACATGCATGATGCTTGGTATGTAACAAAGACTAGCTGAGATGAAGAATTATTTAGAGCTGGCAGGGAGAAAAAATTTTGCTAGAGTTCATGATGAATAATTCTGGTAAATGCTCCCAAAGCTAATTAGAACTTAATTAGATACCATCGCACATTATTTGCTGATGGTTTCATGTGTTTATTCATCTTTTCCTTACTGCTTTTTAAGTTCCATGAGCATGGGCCAGGTGCAGTGGCTCATGCCTGTAATCCCAGCACTTTGGGAGGCTGAGGCAGTGGATCACGAGGTCAGGAGATCGAGACCATCTTGGCTAACACAGTGAAACTCCGTCTCTACTAAAACTACAAAAAATTAGCCGGGGGTGGTGGCGGGCGCCTGTAGTCCCAGCTATTCGGGAGGCTGAGGCAAGAGAATGGCATGAATCCAGGAGGCATAGCTTGCAGTGAACCGAGATGATGCCGCTGCACTCCAGCCTGGGCGACAGAGCGAGACTCCATCTCAAAAATAAATAAATACATAAAAATTAAAATTAAAAAAATAAAAAAATAAGTTCCATGAGAGTAGACATTTTTCACACATATTTAGGTCCACCTTACCTACTACATCTATGCAACATATATATAATTACATAGTAAATAGTTAAGAATAAAGCCCTTTACCCCAGTGTCCTAGACTTACCACAAAAAGGCTTGTATTAGGCTGTTCCTGCATTGCTATAAAAGAATACCAAAGGCTGGCTAATTTATAAAGAAAAGAAGTTTAATTGGCTCATGGTTCTGCAGGCTGTACCAGCATGACTTCAGCATCTGCTTCTGGTGAGAGCCCCAGGAGCCTTTTGGTCATGGCAGAAGGCAAAACGGGAGCAGGCACAGCACACAGTGAGAGCAGAAGCAAGAGAGTAAATGGGAAAACCCGCACACTTTTAAACAACCAGATGCCTCGTGAACTCAGAGCAAGAACTCACTTATTCCTAAAGGGACGGTGCTAAACCGTGCATGAAGTGTCCACCCCCATGATCCAATCACCTCTCACCAGGCCCCACCTCCAACACTGGATATTACATTTCTTTTTTTTTTTTTTTTTTTTTTTTGAGACAAAGTTTTGCTCTTGTTGCCCAGATTGGAGTGCAATGGCGCTATCTATCTCAGCTCACTGCAACCTCCACCTCCTGGGTTCAAGTGATTCTCCTGCCTCAGTCTCCTGAGTAGCTGGGATTACAGGCATACGCTACCATGCCCCACTAATGTTGTATTTTTAGTAGAGACAGGGTTTTTCTATGTTGGTCAGTCTGGTCTCGAACTCCCAACCTCAGGTGATCCACCCACCTCAGCCTCCCAAAGTGCTGGGATTACAGGCGTGAGCCACCGTGCCCGGCCTGGAGATTACATTTTAACATGAGATTTGGAGGGGACAAATAGCCAAACTATATCAATGTCTTATAGCATCCTAGTAACTTAGAAAAGACCCCTTTGAATTAACCAGCTTACCTAAAAGAATGCAATTGACCTTTGTGCTCACACACAGGTAGAAAAGTCTGCGAGTAACCCATCTGAACACTGCAGCACCTGACAGCTGCATTTTCCTTGAGGTCCTAACTTTTGTTACAGCTCTGTTTGGAATAATTGTGGATGTGTTATGGCAAAATATCAAGTGAAGGAACCAGAAAAATGAGAGAAATCAGAACTCAGAGGGCGTAAACACACACATACTATTGTTCAATGCACTTGGCTTTAGAGCTGCAGTCTGAACATAAAGCCAAGGGACAAATTCTCTTCTACAGTGAAACTTTCATCAGAAGGTCCCAGCAAGACACTTAAGTTACTTTTGCAATGCTCTCATGCCAAAACTAAGGGTATAAATTGAACAATTGATGTCTTTCATAATGGAGAGTTTTAAAACAGTGCTAGTGCATTCTAAGCAGTATGTTTTTATCCTCACAGGAGTTCCACAAAGTAGGTTTTCTTATTCTGCTGTCTAGTTCATGCTGAGCTGCATTCACACTGAAGTGCAGGATGCTGCTTCACTTGCCCAGGGGTCACAGGATTAGCAGGTGGAGGGACAAAGATCCAACCTTTGTCTGTGCACCTTCAATCATCTTTCCAAATCTTTTCTAGCCTCTTCTCTTCTACCTTCCCTCACTCACTTATCATGGATCCACCAAGCAGCTTCCTTAAGTGGAGGTAGAAGGAGGCATACCACCTGCTCCCATATGGGACATTCCGATTTCATCTTCATCTACATAACAACGTTTTTCCAACTCTGCAGTGCAAAATGTATTTTAAAGTTATTTCTTGGAATAATTATCTTATCTGAAAGTCAATCCACTCCTCTTTTACTTGGGATTGGTCTACAAAAAGTAAGATATTTTCTTCAAGGCTTTTTGCTCTTTTCTGCATGTGATGGTGCAGATTCTGGAGGGAATGGTACCACCAAGAATGCTGTCAGATGTTGCGGGAAGTCAGGGACCCCAAAAGCAGGGACTGGATAGAGCCGTGGGAGAGGAACATAAATTGTGAAGATTTCATGGACATTTATCAGTTCCCAAAATTAATACTTTTATAATTTCTCATGCCTGTATGTACTGCAATCTCTGAACATAAATTGTGAAGATTTCATGGACACTTATCAGTTCCCAAAATTAATACTCTTATAAATTCTTATTCCTTTCTTTACTTTAATCTCTTAATCCTGTTATCTTCGTAAGCTGAGAATGTACGTCACCTCAGGGCCACTATTGTACAAATTGATTGCAAAACGTGTGTTTGAACAATAAGAAATCAGTGCACCTTGAAAACGAACAGAATAACAGCGATTTTAGGGAACAAGGGAAGACAACCAAAAGTCTGACTGCCTGCGGAGTCGGGCAGAATAGAGCCATATTTTTCTTCTTGCAGAGAGCCTATAAACGGATGTGGAAGTAGGAGAGATATCACTAAATTCTTCTCCTAGCAAGGAATATTAAATATTAAGACCCTTAATTACATTCCTGGGGAAAAGAATTACATTCCTGGGGGAAAGTCTATAAACGGCCGCTCTGGGAGTGTCTGTCTTACGCAGTTGAGATAAAGACTGAAATACGCCCTGGTCTCCTGCAGTATCCTCAGGCTTATTAGGGTGGGGAAAAAATCCCACCCTGGTGAATTTGAGGTCAGACTAGTTCTCCGCTCTCAAACCCTGTTTTCTGTTGTTTAAGATGTTTATCAAGACAATACGTGCACAGCTGAACATAGACCCTCATCAGTAATTCTAATTTTGCCCTTGCCTTGTGATCTTGCTTTGCCCTTTGACTTGTGATCTTTATTGGCCTCAGAAGCATGTGAACTTTGTTCTCCTTTTTTGCCCTTTGAAGCATGTAATCTTTGTGACCTACTCCCTGTTCGTACATCCCCTCCCCTTTTGAAATCCCTAATAAAAACTTGCTGGTGTTGCCGCTCAGGGGGGCATCATGGACCTACCAATATGGGTGTTACCCCTGGTGGCCCAATTCCGCAGTAAAATTCCTCTCTTTGTACTCTTTCTCTTTATTTCTCAGACTGGCAGACACTTAGGGAAAACAGAAAGAACCTGTGTTGAAATATTGGTGGCTGGTTCCCCCGATAGTCAGGGTGACCTAATCAGTTTCCCAAGGAAGACAGTAGACATCTGTGTCAGGGGCTGAATGTACCTGGGTCCCTCTTAACCCTGTTCCCTTGACATTTAGGGAACTAGCAAGAATGAATGGATGTCCTCATCACTCCTCCGGGTTTTGGAGTGAAAGATGGGCAGCATCGCTCTTTGAAGATCGCAAAGCTCCTAATCCAGATGCTAATTCCCCTCTCCATCTGCACGTCCCTTGTGGTTCACAGTGTTCTTAGCTCTACAACCTAAGACAGTGAGGGGTCCTCAGTGACCCTTGAAGAGCTCGACAACACTGGCTTGAAATTCCCAAAGCCCTCTCCAAGTGTTCTTCAAATTCTCCAGCAGCTTTTCTTCTCATGGCTACGCTGGACTGTTTCCAAGCACATTGCCGCACTAGGCGTATTTTGGGCTCAGACCAGGAACCAAAACTCCTGCTCAGTCTCCATAAGTAAGACTTATCTCTGACAGCACCCAAGGCAGCCAGGTGCTGAGTTGAACAAATGAAGTTTGAGAGGAAGATGGGCTTACCTCTCAGCTACAGCACTTCAGAGGAAGCCTGCTCAGTGCCATCCCGTCACTTGTGATTCGCCCCTTATCCAGCCTCCATCACCCTGCATCTGCAAGCTCCCCTTTTCCCATCTCTCCTTCTTTCCTCCACTCAGGTCCATTTTTTTTGATTGATTGATTTTTTACAAATAAACTTAATTTTTTTTTTTGAGATGGAGTCTTGCTCTGTCATCTGGGCTGAAGTGTAGTGGCACAATCTCAGATTGCTGCAACCTCCACCTCCCAGGTTCAAGTGATTCTCGTGCCTCAGTCTTTCAAGCAGCTGGGATCAGAGGTGTGCACCACCGTACCTGGCTAATTTTTTGTATTTTTAGTAGAGATGGAGTTTCACCATGTTGGCCAGGCTGGTCTTGAACTCCTGACCTCAGGTAATCTGCCCGCTTCAGCCTCCCAAAGTGCTGGGATTACAGGCATGAGCCACCACACTCAGCCAAACATAAACTTTGTTTTTTAAGGGTGGCTTACACTGCCCAACACAGCAAAATTAAGCAGAAAGTATAGAGATTTCCCATGTACCTCATATCCCCCCTCCCCTGCCCTACACACAACCTCTCCCATTATCAACATCTCAACCAGAGTGGTCCATTTGTTACAGTGGATACACCTATGCTGACACATCATCATCACCCAAAATTCATAGTGAACCCAGTTTACATTAGGGTTCACTCTTGTTGCTGTACATTCATTAGGTTTGGACAAATGTATAATGACCTGTATCTACCATTATAGAATCACACAATCATTGCACTGCTCTAAAAATAGTAGTGCTCTGCCTATTCATTTCTTCCTCCCCACAACTTTGACAACCCCTGCTCTTTTGATCCTCTCCACAGTTTTGCTTTTCCCAGGGTGTTAAATAGTTAGAATCTCACAGCATATTGCCTTTTCAGATTGGCCTCTTTCAGTAAATGCTATGCAATGATGCTTCTTCCATCTCTTTTTGTGGCTTGATAGCTCATTTCTTTTTATTGCTAGATAATATTTTATTTATCTGGGTGGACTGCAGCTTATCCATTTGCATACAGCAGGCCATCTTGGTTGCTTCTAAGTTTGGCAATTACAAATAAACCTGCTGTAAACATCCCTGGTGTTCAGTTCCTTTTAATAGCAAAATATCAAATCACTCCCCCTTTCTTCTGCAGAGCCCCTTCCTTTCTCCTCTAGTGATTTGGAGCCTGCTGACATAGCCATTCTCAGGGTCTTACCCATCTTGTGGGCTTTTCTGTGAATGCTTTCAAAGATGCTTTTCCCCAAAGAGGATACCAAAGGCAGCCATTTAGATCATTCTTTTTTTCACTATGTGACACAGATGCACTAATTCTTACAATATCACCCTTGTGCCTGACTTATAAATGAGGAAATGCATCTCCACAGAGCTTGAGAAAAGGCCAACATGCAGAATGGTAGATGCTGCAGGTCGGGGGCCTGGTACACATACTCTTGGAGCTCACTCTGTCCAGGTCCCCTTAGGTCCTGTCTGTGGCTGCAGCCCCCAAAGCCCTGCTTCTACCAGCTTTGCTACCACGAGCCGTACCTGTAACTTTAGAGAGTCCACATTGGGTGCTAGAGCAGCCTTCCCCCGCATGCCCTTTATGTCTTCCTTCCTCCCCCAGGGCAGCCAGTAGATGTTTTGTGGGTGGTACAAAAGCCCAGCTCCCTTGCCTTGAGGCAGGACAAGCTCTGAGATGTCATTTGCCCTCCAGAGCTCCCCACGAACTCAGGCCGAGCCTGATGCTTCACCAGAAAGCTCACCTGTGCTTGGCCTCTTCCTCCTTCCTGATCTGTACCCCTCACTCTCAAACAGGTTTCCCCTGGGAGAACTTCTTCAATAAAGTGTTCTCATCATCCTAAAGCCTTGCCTCAGAGTCTGCTTCTGGGCGAACCCAACCTCAGGCGGAATGAGGTTCACCTTTCTCTTAGGCCTGTGAGGAAGGGGTATGGCCTGGGAGTGCTGCATCCTTGGGAAGAGCCCTTGGCTTTCAGGCCCCTGAGGTTATGACACTGTCCACAGGCCTGCCACATGCACAAGGCTGCTGTCAGCATTTCTCTTGCTTCATTCTTCGGAAGGACAGGAATGCCAGATGACTGAAGACCACAAGATATTCAAGAAGTCAAGACCACAAGAGGACCAAAACAAACAAATAGGGGGAAAAAGGACATTGGAATAAATGAGTTAATGGAAGGCTCAGAAAGTAACCAAAATAAGTGTAATTCCCAGGGATTATATAAGTTACTGTATCCACAAATGACAAAGAAATGCAATCAGAAGGTGAAAAGGTTTTAGAATTTAACAAATATGAGTGCCAAAATAGGAACAATTTAGTATGAGGATTGGAAGGCAAAGTCAAAGTCATCTCCCAGAATGTAAACCCAAATTATCAAGAGATGGGACAAATAAGCGATTAAGAGATGTGGGCCAGGCATGGTGGCTCATGCCTGTAATCCCAGCACTTTGGGAGGCCAAGGCAGATGGATCATGAGGTCAAGAATTTGAGACCAGCCTGGCCAACACAGTGAAACCCTGTCTCTACTAAAAATACAAAATATTAGCTAGGCACGGTGGCAGGTGCCTGTAATCCCAGCTACTCAGGAGACTGAGGCAGGAGATTTGCTTGAACCCAGGAGGTGGAGGTTGCAGTGAGCCGAGATTGCGCCACTGTACTCCAGCCCAGAGGACAGTGCGAGACTCCGTCTCGAAAAATATGTGAAGATGGCCCAAGACCCCGCTATTAAAAGCTATTAAAAGCCAAGGGTTGATGAGTGGACACAAAAGTGCAGCTAGATAAGAGAAATAAGTCCTACTGCCCCATAACACTCTAGGGTGGCTCTCACAAACAACGTCTATTATATATTTTCAAATAGCTAAAAGAGCAGATTTTGAATGTTCCCAACACAAAGAAACAATAAATGTTTGAGGTGATGGATATGCTAATTACTCTGATTGGCTTATTACACATTGTATACATTGTATACATGTATTGAAATATCGGCTGGGTGCGGTGGCTCACGCCTGTAATCCTAGCACTTTGGGAGGCCAAGGTGGGTGGATCACCTGAGGTCAGAAGTTCAAGACCAGCCTGGCCAACATGGTGAAACCCTGTCTCTACTAAAAATACAAAAATTAGCTGGGCATGGTGGTGCATGCCTGCAATCCCAGCTACTTGGGAGGCTGAGGCAGAAGAATCACTTGAACCTGGGAGGCAGAGTTTGCAGCAAGCCAAGATGGTGCCACGGCGTTCCAGCCTGGGCAACACAGACAGACTCCATCACACACACACAAAAAAAAAAGAGAAAAGAAATATCACATGTACCCTGTAAATATGTACAATTATTGTGTGTCAGTTTAAAATAATGACATTAAAAAAAAAAAGTCCCAGGAAGAGATTGCCAAGAAAACAAATACTTTATCAAGAAAATGACATAAGAAAAACCCCTAAACTCATGAAAGACACAAATCTCTCAACGGAAAGTCATATAAATGAAAAATCCCCACGTCTAGAAACATCATATGACATCCCAGGACACAAGGGATAAAGATATGATCATAAAAGCCTTGAGAAAGAGAAAAAGGGAGGAAAAAAATAGTTCTATACTTACAGAGAAATGAGAATCCAACTGACATTTGCTAAAAGATGTTGGACGGAATCAAAATGGCATCAAAAACTGAGGAAAACAATGATGACAAACTGTCTAAGAAAGATAAGGTCTAAATATCACATGGTTTTCAGCAAATCATGAAGAGTAGGAAAAGGTCCTTTTTAGCATCCTGTGGCATAGAATGTTGACAATGGAAATGCCGAGGTGTGCACGTAAAATCGTGCAAACAATTTCAGAAAGCAACTGCCATGCAGAAAGCCATACCAAGGTTCCAAGATAAAGTCTCTGTCACAAGAAGACTCCAGGAGGATGGAGAGAAGGAGGCTGTTATTGCAAGTCACTTATTATACTGCAATTTCCTTACACAGGCACATGGTCAAGTTTTAAAAATCTCTTTGTAACTATACTGCAGGGAATTAAGAGTAGTATGTATTTCATGCCTGACAGTGCTAGAGTGAAAGGCAGCTTTCTCTCTCTCCCCTAGGTTCAACTATTTGGGATCAATGTTAGAGAAGGTCCACTGCCCTCCCTGAGGCCTCCCTGATCCTGAAAGAGTTAGAGGTCAGAAGAGGAGAGTGCATTTAGGCTAGAAATTAGCAGCATACTATCACTCTGTATCCCTGTAAGGACATTTTTTTCCCATTGCCAGCCATGAAAATATAGGTTTTCATGTTTTTTAAAAAATTATTTATGCAACCAGACTTTGTTGAGTAGCTATTATGCACCAGTAGTGTTAGTAGGCATGAGAGGTTAAATACTGAACAAGACAAAATTCCTGCCCTTTTGTAGATTAAAGAAGAAAAATACTACAATTATCCCAAGGATATGGAAAAAGTATTAAATACAATTCAAAACTCATTCATTTATTGTAAAAATTCCTTGCAAACTAAAAGTGGAAGGGAACTGTCTTACCATGATAAATTATATCCATCAAAAACCTATGAAAACATCATGCAGAACAGTCAGACTTAGAGGTCGGGAAGACAGAGACCGCCCCCACATCACCGCTTTGATTCAGCACTGCCCTTGGAGGTTCCAAACGTACAGTTAGAAAAGAAACAAGGGGTAAAAGAAAGAAAAAGAAAAATATGTCCTTATTTTCAGTTAAAATGTTATCATAGATAATAAGAGAAACATTAGGCAATTTATCCAGATTAATATGAGAGTTTAGCAATATGGTTAAATGCAGAGTTTGATGTTACGCAGTAGGGAACGCGGAAACTGACCTAAACATACACTGAAATATGATACAGGGATAAAAGTAGCATTATAACTTATAGGTGAAGAATACATTTTATAATAAAGATGCTGTGATAATTGATTATCCATGTGGACTAAAATAAATTTAGATATCCTGTCTCACACCACAAAATCCTAAATATATTAAAGACCAAATACGAAACATATAACTTTAAGCTTTTGAAGAAAATATAGGGGAATATTCTGTCACTTCTAAGTAAAAAAAGTGTTTCTTAAACAAAATGGAAAAGACTGACATATTTGATTGCTTTAAAATTTTAAATGTCCTTATATTAAAAATCATTGTAAAGCATTATAAGCCAAAGCTTGTAATGAAGTTTTCTCACACAACTGGCAAAAGATTAGTACTTAAGATATATAAATACAGATATAAATATACCCATATATAAGATATACACATAAAAATTTAAATACATAAGGTATGTAATTATAGTATTTCAGAAGTATATAAAATTCATTTTAGATATATATGTATGTATGTATAGGTACACACAATGGGAAATGAACAAACCTAATAGAAAAAAAGGGCAGAACAAATATTTCACAATGAGAAAGCTCGAATGCCAACGAGGATTTGGAAAATTGAAAATTCTCATGCAAGTAGACCTGTAAGTTTGCTCCAACATTGGAGAGTAATTTAGCAATACCTAGTAAAGTTGAAATATGAATATTCTTCAACCTAGCAGTTCCACTTTTATGTATATGAGCTAGATAAATGCTTGCACATATGTACAAGGATATGCACAAAACTGTTTATAGAAAAGCATTTGGAAAATTCTAAATGGCCATTCCCTCTTCATAGATTGCATAACTAAATTCTCAGATATGCCTATAGTGGAATACTATACAGCGATACAAATGCATAAAGAGAAACTGAAGCTGTAAACATGGATAACTCCAAAAAGAGAATGTTGAGTGTA